>NC_000002.12:18115815-18267331 GCF_000001405.40 Homo sapiens
GGAGGGACCAGGGGCAGAATGATGTGGTTTGGCTGTGTCCCCACCCAAATCTCATCTTGAATTGTAGCTCCCATAATTCCCCCATGGTGTTGGAGGGAGCTGGTGGGAGATAATTGAATCATGGGGGTGGTTTCCCCCATACTATTCTCATGGTAGTGAATAAGTCTTGAGATCTGATGGTTTGATAAGGGGTTTCCCCTTTCACTTGGCTCTGATGTTCTCTCTTGCCTGCCACTAGGTAAGACATGCCTTTCACCTTCTGCTTTGATTGCGAGGCCTCCCAAGCCATGTGGAACTGAGTCCATTAGACCTTTTTTTCTTTATAAATTACCCAGTCTTGGTAATGTCTTTATCAGCAGTGTGAAAATGGACTAATATAGTTCCAAAGAAGGGGAAGACTTTATAACTGTTGAAACCTGATATAAATATTGTATAATATAAAAGCTACATAAGTATTACATAATAAAATTACCTAAAGGTACATAAAATGAGCTATATATATTATCAAACATCATTCATGGTTTTATTTGCTTTATAATAATGTAAAAACCTCACCTCCTTCATCAAGGGAGCAATATAAAAGACAAAATGAGTATCAGCTTGGGGCGGAAACTATTGCCATCATATCCAGATTATTTGTTTTTCCCTTCAACTAATTTCTACAAGTAGTATCTCTGGCAAGTCAGAGTAGTATCTCTGCCTCAATGACTCACCCACACCCGGATCCACACCGAGAGAGAGAAATTTGGAGAGAGCCACCTCCCTCTACCACCTCCTTTCAAATTGTTCTTTCCAAAACCCTAATCAGGCTCCAGACCCTTCAGAAAACCTTTCAGAAAATACTTTTCTTTTGCTAGAAATCCTTCTGCATGGTACAGGTTGAGTTCCCTCTTCCAAAATGCTTGGGACCAGAGTGTTTTGGATTTCAGATTTTTTTTTTTTTGATTTTGGAATATTTGCATTATACCAGTTCAGCATCCTTAATCTGAAAATCCAAAATCTGAGATGCTCCAATGAGCATTTTCTTTGAGCATCATGTCTGTGCTCAAAAAGTTTCAGAGTTTGGAACATTCTGGATTTCAGACTTTTGGATTAGGGATGCTTAACCCCTACCACATGATTGAATGTGCTTTTTTGATTAATTATCTCCTGTTTTGTTTTTGTTTTTGCCTTAGTATTGTCTTAGATACAGCGTGAGCTCCTGAAAGGCAGAAACCTTGTCATGTTTTTATACTCTCCTCCTTGGGCCCATGGAGTTTACAGAGCATCTAGGAAGTGCTCAAGGCACCCTCTGTGCTTGATTTGTTGGCCTTGTCTGTTTCCCTAATGGATGGCTGATGCTCAGACTCTGCATAGGAAGCCTCATGGTGCAGTAAGGTTTGTCCTCTGCTCAGACCAGGGAGGTGGTTGAGATCACGGGCCCTGGAGATGACTGCCTGGGTTCAGCTCTCTGTTCCACTGCTTACAAACAAACCATGGTAGCTTGGTCTAATGCCTAATGTCCTGTGTAGCATTTTGTCGTCTGTAAATTGGATGTGATAACAGTACCCACTAATTGAGTGGGAGTGATGATTTAATGAGACAATACATGTAACATGCTTTGAAGAATGTCTGGAGCGAAGTAAACACAACGTACATCTGCTACTGTTCACATTTGCTCCATTTTTCTGGAATCCCTGATCTACTTTCTTCCACAGGTCAAATGGCCTGTAAGATTTTCCATTTGCAGTGTTTAGGATTTCGTTGCTGTCTGGTCTTCAATTCAAGCTGCTCATGGCTCAGTAATGCTCCTGGCTAGAGGCAGATCACTGTTGGGATTCAGGCATTCCTTTGGATATCCCTGACAATAGTTGTGATAATTACAACAGCTGTTACAGTTTAATAAGTGGTTTCATAGCCTTAATTCCCCTGATCTTCTTTCAGAGCCAGGGCTGCCCCATATGGTTGTGCAGGTTGTACACTGCTCAGCTGCAGCAGGCACCATTTACTTTGTAGTCTTTGTGAAAGGCGCCCCCTAGAGCTCTGCAATGCAGTGCTTTCCACTGCCACATGATGGTGAACCTGCACACAGCTGCCGTATGAGGTTTGTGTTATTATTCTCATTTTTTGTTTCACTTTTTGTCTTTTTATTAGAGAGTTTAGTCAATTTACATTAAATGTTATCATCAATAAGAAAGAACTTACATCTGCCATTTTTTTATTTTTTTGGTTGTTTTGTGGTTTTCTCTTTCTTTTTTTCTCCCTGTATTAGTCTGTTCTCATGCTGCTAATAAAGACATACCCAAGACTGGGCAATTCACAAAGAAAAGGAGGTTTAATAGACTCACAGTTTCACATGGCTGGGGAAGCCTCACAATCATGGTGAAAGGCAGAGGAGGAGCAAAGGCATGTCTTATATGGGGGCAGGCAAGAGAGCTTGTGCAGGAGAACTGCACCCTATAGAACCATCAGATCTTGGGAGACTTATTCACTATCATGAGCATAGCACAGGAAAAACCTGCCCCCATGATTGAACTATCTTTACCTTGTCCCTCCCCTGACAGGTTGGGATTATGGGAATTACAATTCAAGATGAGATTTGGGTAGAGACACAGCCAAACCGTATCATTCCATCCCTGCCCCTGCCAAATCTCATGTCCTCACAATTCAAAATACAACCATGTCCAGGCAGAAGTTTGCTGCAGGGGAGGGGTCTCATGTAGAAACTCTGCTCGGGCAGTGCAGAAGGGAAATATGGGGTTGGAGCCCCCACACAGAGTCCCTACTTTGGCACTGCCCAGTGGAGCTGTGAGAAGAGGGCCACCAACCTCCAGACCCTATATTAAAAACAAAACTGTGGCTTAAGGGATTTTTAAAAATATAAAATACAAAGAAAAAGATTTTACCATAAGTCCACGAATGCTTCTAATAGTCTGTGTATTTTGTCAGTTACCAGGAAATTACCCTGGAGAGAAGCAAACAATCAATTTCAAACTGTTTGCCTTTATTGCATCTTCTTCTCCACCCTCGCATTGAGAAATGGAAAATCCAATAACTAATAAAGAGCACTGTAAAGTCCTTTCCCTTTGTCGAAAGGATTTAATCATTGGAGTGAACTCCACAAATATTTGTGCTGTAGATGAGAGAGTGAGTCAGCGAATGTGGTGTTTCCTTGCTCCAAGTCTCCTTGGAGTTTTCTACAGGGATTTTGGGTAACAGGGTAGCTCTGAACTGGGTAGATCTGTCTGTCAAGAGGAACGCTCTAGAAAGCTCAGGACTCTCCTGCACAGGGCTTAGCCCACTGTGCTCAGGCCCCTGGGGACTCAGCGGATGCATGACTGTTGAATTTGGAGCCTGTCTCTGGTCCCAGGGTTCTATCTGTGTTTGCCAGCATTCACTGGGATGTAGACTGAGGCTCAGACAATCTACCAGCTACCCATTTTCCATGGGAAAGCTTATCAATGTACATAGATAGAGGCTATTTTCAGAACTCATGGCTTTGATTGTTCCCATTCTCCCCTTGCAGTTTGCCTTTGAGTGGGGTCCGCCAGGGTCTCGGAAATAGATAACTGTTTCCTATTTTTCCCTGGTATCTGGCCTGCATCACAGGTCCTCCCCATCCAGCCGCTACATTACCTTTCCTAAAACACAGCGGGGAGTGTTTGACCTTTGTCAAACACTAATTACTTGAAAGAAGAAGTTTCTTAGCAGAATCTCAAAGCTCTTGATAATCCATAATCTGATCCCAGCTTCCTTCACACCAACCTCATCTCTGCCACGTGGTCTCCACAAACTTCCGCTGCACCAGACCATGTGTAAGTCTTAGCCTTCCTCCCTCTGTCCTGCACGGGCTGTGTCTTCTGCTGTGGTGCCCTGCCTTCTCTGCTTTTTCGCCTTCAGTAGCTTGTTCTCTTACGCTTAATATGGTCAGTACCAATTTCTCACACTTTTTTATGTGGAATCCATTCCAATTGAGAAAACATCTCTCTTTATAAATATTTCACCCTGCTGCACACCAGAGACAGTCAGCTTCCATGCATCTTTTAATCAGACTTCTCTTAGATGCTACTAAGGGTCCGTTTCTGTGTTTGAGTCTCTCTTCTCCAGTACATTACTAGGTTGTTGAGGGCAAGAGACATTATTTATACAACTCTGACTCCTTCATGGGAGTCAGGCCAGGCCTGGTGTATGACTTACCAAATTAAATTGAATTTCTAAACCATCTAAACATATTTCTTCCATGATGACAGGGGAGGTTAATTATGTGTGTTTATAAGTTGGCTGTTGCCAGGAGACACGGAGGCGATCACTTGTCAGCATTGCTCTTTGGAAATGAAACTGAAGGCAGTTGGAAGCTGGTGAACCGCTCTCTGGCAATTAGACTGGCAGGCTACCAAATGTAGCAATGGCAGGCAGGAGGCATCATCAGCTCTTACCCTGTGTCTCTGCCTGGCTTTGTTCCCAAGAGAATGTCCAACCAGAGCTGACACTGGGAAGCTCATAGATTCAGAATGCTATCACCAATTCAGGACAAAGATGGCAGTGGGGAGAGGAGCCATATATCCTACCAGCTCCTGGGATGGGTTAGTGCTGCAGCTTCGGTGGAATTCATGTGACCCCAGAGGGATAGATAGGGACAAGACAGACATTATCTTCTATGGAAGGCTCCAGGTGGGCCACACACTTGGTCCTCACTGAGGTAATCATTCCATCCAGCAATGCAGCTCTCTGGCAGTTGCTTTGTAGCCTTTCCCTTGAAAAAGGCTGGGTAAGGACTGACTTGGTCTCAAGTCACTGTCTTAGATGCCTTGCATCCCCTTCCTCCTTTAGTTGTTGGAATCCTCACTCTCTTTTGCTTTCAGGAAAATGCTCTCCAGTCCCTCCATTACAAACAGAAGTTTTGAAAGAACAACAACAACAAAAAAGCTCTCCCAGGGGAGTTTACATTTTGACTGAGAGTAAACTAAACAAATAGTGCATAAGTGGTTGAATTCAGAGCAGCAAGCATCAGAAAAAGGAAATCTGGGAGAGGACTGCATGGCATTTATGTTACCATTGAAATCACACCATAGATTGGCTTCTTCCTTAATCTATATGTACAGAGGCATCTGTCTACCACACTTATTGACATATTGAAAAGATTCAATAGATGTTTGCTGAACTCAGCTGTTAAATTTTAGGAAAATAAACCTGACCATGTTTTAAGATCCTCTACTGGTACTGTAGCATTATGAAGGTTAAAAAGAACGTAGGAATAAATGCTTTCTGGCTCAACTGCTAGACCAACTGACAAGACAGACAGAGAGGAAGCAATAATACTAGCAGCAGCAGCAGTAGTAGTAATAATAATCATAACAGAAGAAGAACATATAGGGAAAAAGCTTCTTGACATTGGCCTTGGCAATGATTTCTCGGATATGAAACAGGCAACAAAAGCAAAAATAGATGAGTGGGATTATATGAAACTAAAAAGCTTCTGCAAAGCAAAGGAAATAATCAATGAAATGAAAAGACAACCTAAAAATGCGAGAAAATATTTGTAAACCACATCTGATAAGGGATTAACATTCAAACCATAAGGAACTCATATAACTCAATAGCAAAAAATCAAATAATCAGATTAAAAAATTGATAAAGGAACTAGTAGACATTTCTCTAAAGAAGACATACAAATGGCCGACAGATATATGAAAATGTACTCAACATCACTAATTATCAATGAAATGCAAATGAAAACCACAATAAGATATCACCTCACACCTGTTAGATTGCTTATTCTCAAAAAGATGAAAGGCAAATGTTGGTGAGGATATGGATAAAAAGGGAACCCTGTACGCTGTTGGTAGGAATGTAAATTGGTGCAGCCACTATGGAAAATGGGTATGGAGGTTTCTCAAAACAAAAACTAAAACTAAAACAAACATACCAAAAAAAAAAAGCCCCCAAAACAACCTAACATTAAACCTACCCTGTGAACCAGCAGTCTCTCTCACTTCTGGGTATATACTCAAAGGAATTAGGATCTTGAAGAGATGTCTGTACTCCTACGTTCATTGTAACATCACATCACCCAAGATGTGGAAGCAACCTGAATGTTTATTGATGGATGAATGGTTAAAGAAAATGTGGTATATGCATAGAATGGAATATTATTTGGGGCATAAAAAGAAAAAAAAATCCTGTCATTTTCAACAACATGGATGAACCTGGAGGGCATTGTGTTAAGTGAAATATGCCAAACACGGAAGAACAAATACTGTATGATCTCACTTATGTGTGGAATTAAAAATAGTCAAACTTATAAAAGAAGAGAATAGAATGGTGGTTGTCAGGGGTCGGGGGGAGGCGGAAACTGGAGTTACTAGTCAAAGGCTACTAAGATTTAGTTACACAAGATGAATATAGATCATAGAGACCCACTGCACAGAATAATGCCTATAATAGACAAAACTGTATTGCATACTTAAAATGTACTAAGAAAGATCTTATATTAACTGTTCTTATTACTACTACTACTAATAAATAAAGATGGTGGAGAAGACTTTTGGAGGTGATGGATATGTTTATGGCATGAATTTTGGTGATGGTTTCACACATGTGTGCTTATTTCCAAATGCATTAAGTTCTATACATTGAATATGTACAGCTTTCTGTATGTCAATGATACCTCAATAAGGTGGTTAAAAAATAGTAACTTCCATTTTTTGAACAGCTACTATGTGCCAAGAACTTCACATAGTTTTTCACATTTATTTCTTGCAATAACTCTGTGAGGTTATAAGTATGTCCATTTTACAAATGAAAGAAGCAAAACAGTTTAAATAACTGTTTAACAAAAGTATTTAAAAAATAAGAGCCAAGATTTTAAGCATAGTCAGTTTGAAAAAGCTAGTATTTTTTTCTATGACGCCATGATGCTGCATTAACCATGGCAAGGCTAAGATGAAGGGAGGAGGAGAAACACAGATTCCAGAGTTGTGTGTTTAGAGGATGTAGAGATAAGGCGTTTGTTGCAGTTGGCCCAAGAGGACATTATAGAGGCTTTGTTTTGGCTTTACATGAGAAATGTTTTCTTTTTCTTTCTTTCTTTTCTAAAGATTCCTTTGCAGTTCTATTTATTCATAGAATATGTATTTCTAAGGATGTAGAGTTAGGGAACTGTGTTCAAAAGTCCCTTGAAATAATATATGAGGAACAATTCTGTAAGAGTTTTGAGAATGAACTAAACACAGGGCTGGCACATTTCCAGGTTCACGTTGACCTGATGAATGAATAAAGACATACAAAAGCAGAGGGGACACCTAGACCACCTACACTATGTCTGGGGTTGAACTTTCCATTAACATTGGTTTTAAACATTGTAAAGATTTTAACATTTTAATCTTTCAAGATCTTGCTTATAGTCATTAGTTATTCCAATTATGCTGTTCTGGTCTAGATCACAGCCCAGTTATTTAATACAAGTGCTCATCATTGCATTAAATCTCGTGGCTTCCTGAAACGACAGCTGCCTTCTGGCTGGGACTGATCTTAGATGAAGCCTCATTCCTGAGATGCTGGGCAGCCATCATATCCCCAGAGTCAGGGAGAATTTAGTTGGCAATGGATGCGCATGAAGTAATTCATTTAACAAATTTATTAGCACTATTTACTATGTGTCTGGCACTGTTCTAAGATCTGTAGATAAGGGAAAGTGAACTCTGCTCATATTTGAATGGGAGCTCATATTCTAATGGGCTGGGCAGATAAAGAGCTGCATGAGTAAGTGTGCTGATTTTAGATAGAGGTGAGCACCACAAAAACAGTCACAGGTGAGGCAATGCCAGGGGATACTTTAAATGAGGTGGTCAGTGAGGGTCTTCTGGAGGAGGTGACATTTGATCTGAGATTTGAGTGATCTGAGATTTGAATGAAAGGGGAGAAAAGGCCATGCAGACAGCATGGCAAATACAGTGGCTTTGGAGTGGAAACGAGCTTGGAGGGTTTGAGGAACTGAAAAACGAGCTGGTGCATCGGCCTGAGAGGGAGGTTAGATCAAGTGGATCCCCATCAGCCAGGGAAGGAGGATTGGTATGTTATTCTGACTGCAATGGAAACTCCTGGAAGGTTTAGCAAAGGATTGACATGATTCAAGTTTGTTTACTTATTTTTTTTAAAGAAAATAAAATTTTATTTTAAATTAAACTATAAAATGATATGTATTTTTTTCATTGCAATATAGGCACATCATGGAGAATTTAAAAGACAAAGCCCACAAACCTAAGAAATTATACTTCTCAAATCATCCACAGAAAACTGCTCTTGGATGCTAAATTTCTACTTTAATCAAATTCTGATTTCAGTAGCATTTCCTGAATGTGCATTTGTGCCAGTCACCATACTGAGAGTGTGTCTGTGTGTACGTATCTATATCTATATAGATATAGATAGATATACAAATTAATCTTCACCTCGCTACTGGAGGGATATGCTGTCATTCCCGTTTTGCAAATGGAAAAGTCATAGCACAGAGAGAAACTTGTTCCAAGTCACGTCATTGGCTATTCAAGTTTAACTTAGTTTAGGGCCAAGATTTGAATCAGAGTTGGCTCCACATTTTCTACTCCTTCCACTCTGCAATGTTATCTCACACATAAAATCATGGCCTTAAGAAGTTTTAATTAATGAAATTATCTCAAGATTGGGAAACCCAAGATATATTTGTACTGGCTTTCATTTCTTCATGCAGCTTTCTTGCCAGGGCTCCCCCAGCCTCATCTGTGCTGTCCCTGCAGTCCTTGTGCCAGGTCCTGTGACCTCCATAGATGCTACAGATGGAGGAGCTCACTGGGCAAGCTGCTCCTGGCTCCCGGGTCACTTGCAGGTATTCCTCATATAGTGCATTGCCTTCTGGCTGCTCTGTAGGCTTCCTACTTAGGGCTTCTCTGCTGCACAGAGTGCTGCAAGACACACTTGGCACCCAAGTGTGAGCAACTCAGAAGACACGGACAGCCTGAAGCAGAAAGTGTTCCATGGGGTCCTCACTTGTCCTGGTGACATAGTCCAGTTAGATACAAAACCAGTTTTGTGCTATAATGTTAGAAGTGCAAACCTAAGCACTCAAAAATCTCTGCATCTGAAAAAAGAAATTGAGTATTCAACATCCAGTCTCAAAGAACATGTTAACATATGATATCCTCTGGCAAACGGTATAGGAATTATAGTGATTTGGTAAAACATTTCAGAAGTTTGTGTGAGGTCATATAACCCCTAAAGGAAGGAAAAGCTTTTGGGCTTTCCTCAAGGCTACACAAACAACTTCCTCCCCTCACTCACTTTTCCTCATCTTGAAAAATTAGTCTCAAGAAAGGAAAAAATATATATAAACAAGTTTTTCACAAACTGATCAAATATGACTTTTAGAAATGGTGTCAAAAACCACAATTACTTTTGCACCAACCTATTAGTAAAATAGAAACATAACTTCAGATACAGAAACCAAAGCATTAACCAGATACAGAGCTCCGTGGTATTAGACTATTAGTACAAAGTGAAAAAAAAAAAAAGGAATTGAATCACCAAAGTTTACTCAGGAACAAAATTCATTTATTTTTCAAAAGCAGGTTAATTCTCCATCGCAGTGAATGGTTGCTTTTTCCCATTTACAAAATCAGGGCTCCCTTATTAAGCCAGAGTACTCTTCCAGGACAATAATGAAGAATAATGCAACTTTTTATTGCCTCTGGGCTATGTCTGTGCACAGATGGCCTTGAAAATAAAACAGTATTTTGGACTGAATTCAGTTTGTTTTCTTGTTTTTCTAACCTGACTCCTGTGAATACAAGCAATGCCATATTATTCAGCTCCCAAGGAGCCCCTTAAGATAAATGAGAGAGACAACCCCTCATGCACACATCCTTTACATTTATATTGACAACCTATAAATACATGTTTATGCAAATCTGCCAACTAGTTATGTATTGTGGCAATCCATAGGAATACATTTTACACTCTACATAGATTAAGCTTCACTGCTGCTGAATCTTTCTGAAATATGGCCCTTGGCTCAACTGATACTCAATGGTCTCTGCAGCTTAAATGTCATCAATTTTGCGTTTTCTGTGGCCTAAGTCCTCTGTGGTATAAGTTCTGTGGTCTCTGTCCTGTACTTTACACCTCCTCCCTCAGAAAATGGATCAGAGTGGTCTTGAAGACCATCCCTGAGAAACATTAGCTTTTTCAGTTGACTTTATTGACCCCTGGGGGCTGCCATCTTGGAGACATCCAAAATTCTCTGGAGGCATTCAGAATATTAAATGGCAGAGGTGGTGCTAAATTCTCTTAATCATGTTCTGGGGCAAATCATTGAAAAATTTTATGCATGTTACTTCCAGGTTCATAAATCTTCAATGGTTTCTTATATCCAAAAGATAAAAATTGCTAACCTGGCAGCCAAGTCTTCTTCCACATAGGGTTGTTCATACATCAGATATTTATTGAGGGGCTACTAAGCATTGTGCTATGGGTCATCAGGATCCCTGGCCTCACAGCCCTGACAGTCTGTGGGAAGCAAATAATTGTACAACCAAGTATTTAATTGCATCAGTAATATATGTCGTGATGAAGAAGTTCAGGGTGATCTGGGGGCTCCTAACTAAGGATTCAGTCAACTCCAGGAGGTTCTGGGCCTTGACAAAAATTCTATTTGAAGAATTTTGGTTTTTACCAAAGGAGAGATTGGAAGCCACTGTGGGCTTTCAAACAGGGAAATAGATGATTAATTTTGTGGTTAAACATATTGCTCTGGTTACAATTTAAAAGATAGAGATTTGAAAGCCAAGAAGCCAGTCAGGAATCTGTGAGAAGGGTCTGGGTGGGAATAGAGGGAGATTTTGGATGAAAGTGATAATGTTGGAGAAGCTTAGAAGTGAATGAAGCTGTGTCGTTTTAAAATTAACAGAACCTTTAGTTATCTCTTTAACCTAAACCCCCCCTTACTTGTTTATTTAAATTTTATAATTTTCCTTTTGAAACTCTTCTTAAGAACAAGGACAGAAAGAAAGGGATGACTTCCTCTTTGTCACAGGAATGATGCCAATTTCAGGCATAGGAGGCCACTGGCCCTCAATGTCACTCTGGGTGAAAGAGGTGATTCTTTCTTATTTCTGATATTCCTAAGCCCCGTGAGAAGCTGACCTCTCTGTCTAAGAGGATGCTGTCTCAGGTAAAGAAGAATGAATTTTTGGCCAATCATATTTGATTATTTTATTACTTTTTAGCCACTCAAACCACCTTTATGGAAACTGATCAAAACTATTTTAAGAAAAAAATCTATGAAAGAAAATGCCGGGAGTTTGAACCCCACTCACTCAGAATTTTGGCCAATTCACACAGGAGCTAAGCTAAATGAGCACTTGAAAAAGGATTTGATAGGTTTTGAGAAAGGGGGTTTAGTAAGCAGATTCATACTGTAAACAGAAATACATGGGCCAAGGAGAACACTGGATAAATGCCCCCAGCTCAACTTTTTACTGGTTGTGTGTCCAGGAAAGTAAACTTAACACTATGAGGCCTGTATGGACTCATAGTATTGACCTTACAGGGATCTGTAAAGGTAGATGAGGTGATGCATGCAACATAATTTGCACAATTTCTGGTACGACATAAGCACCCAAAAGATAATCGTTTCTCTTGTTTTGAAATATTCATGCTTGTCAAAACAATCAAAGGAGCAAATGCAAATTATTTTCTATTTCCTCAAGTTGGCACATAAAAGATCTATGAAGCTAAAGACCAAATAGATACGCCCTCATTAGCCTTACTAACTTATGCATATGGGAAATTTGGATGTCATAAGCCATTAAGAGTTCTCGAGTTTGGGCTTCAAGGTTATTAGTACTTCCCCAGTCCACTCACATCAATAATGCTTGCAAAATTGACTGTTAGTATTTCCACACAAGGATTTTCTTTGTGCTTAAGATCATTGCATTAGGGAAAGGACAGTCTCTTTAATAAATGGTGTTGGGAAAACCAGATAACCATATGCAGAAGAATAAAACTAGACCCCTATCTCTCATCATATAAAAATCAAATCACAGTGGATTGGAGACTTAAATCTAATACCTAAGACTATGAAACTGTTAGAAAAAAGAATCAAAAGATTTTTTCAGGACATTGGTTTGGGCAAAGACTTTTTGGGTAAGAGCTCAAAAACATAGGCAAGGAAAGCAAAAATGGATAAATGGAATAACATCAAGCTAAAAAGATTCTGTACAGCAGAGGTAACAAGCAACAGAGTAAAGAGACAATCTAAAGAATAGGAGAAAATATTTGCAAACAATCCATGTGACAAGGGATTAATAACCAGAATATATAAGGAACTCAATAGCATAAAAGCAAATAATCCAATTAAAAATGGTCAAAAGATCTGCATAGACATTTCTCAAAAGAAGACACACAAATGACTAGTAGGTATTTGAAAAAATGTTCAACATCTCTAATATGAGAGAAATAAAAAAGCCACAAAACAGTAAATGTCCCCTCACCTTAAAATGGCTTTAATGAAAAGACAAATAGTAATGGATTTTGGCAAGGATGTGGAGAAAGGGGAATGCTCATACACTGCTGGTGGAAATGTGAATTGGTATAACCGCTATGGAAAACACTATAGAGGTTCCTCAAAACACTACAAAATAGAACTATCATATGTTCCAGCAATCCCACTACTAGGTATATATCCAGAAGGAAGGAAATTGGGATAGCGAAGAAATATTTGCACTCCAGTGTTTATCGGAGCAATATTCACAATAGCTAAGATATGGAAACAACCTGTGTCCATCAATAAATGAATGGATAAAGAAAATGTGGTATAGAGGCACAATTAAATATTATACAGCCATAAAAAGAATGGAATCTTGTCATTTGCAGCAACATGGATGGAACTGGAGGTCATTATATTAAGTGACCAGGTACAGAAATAAGCCAGGCACAGGAAGATAAATACCTACAATTATATGTGGGAGTTAAAAACTGGGATCTTATGGAGATAGTTGATTGCTGCTTACCAGAGGCTGGGAAGGGTAGACGGGAAATGATGAGAGGTTGGTTAATGGGTAAAAAAAAATACATTTATATAGGAGTAAGATCTAGTGTTCGATAGTACAGTAGGGTGACTACAGTTAATGACAATGTACTGTACAGTTCAAAATAACTAGAAGAATTAAAATGTTCTCAACACTAAGAGGATATAAATGTTTGAGGTGATTAATATCCCAGTTATTTTATCTGATCATTACAAACTATATGCATGTATCAAACTATCACATGTACCCCCCAAATATGTCCAACTATTATATAAGATCATTGCTATTCTTTCTCTTGTTCTAGGGCAGCCACCTAATAGGTAGGGAGGAAAAGATACGGCCTTTTGAGCCAGAAATTTTGGAATACAATCTGATTCTGATACTTACTAGTTTGTGACCTTGAGCAAAAAGACTTTTTTCTGCCTGCTGTGCTTCAAGTTTTTCATTTGTAACAAAAAATGTGAACTTTTTTTTTCTGTTCTGCTTATTCAGGTTGTTTGGAGAAAGAACTACATATTCTTCAAAGTACAATGTAGAAATGATAGACTATTATTGATGTTTTCATATTTTTGGTTTTCTATTATAATTTGGCATCCCCTTTTTGCTCAGCTTGGAGAAAAAATAGGGTGGTTTTTGCTCCTTACATTGTTTACTGCACTTCACTTTATTTTCCTTACTAGGTGACTGCTTTGTCAGCATAAATGCCATGATATACAAGTGTTTTGGAAATGACTAGTGCTGTGCTGAAGTTAAGTAAAAAGCCTGGGTCATAGCAGTTGGGTAATATAAGAGGCAAAATGATAATTTTGGGCATGAATGATTCTGACCTAAACCTTGGTTAGGGCAGGATTATGAGCTTTTTGCTCCTGACTTGTTTTTTAAGGTTTGTAGACCATGTCCTGGAAAAAGCATGAACGGTTGAGTCAGCGAAGTCTGAATTTAAATCCTGGATTGACACAACACATTAGCTTGGGACATGAGGTAATTTGGTGAGCCTTTGTGTTATTTAATTACCTCACCTGTAAATGGAAGTAGGTAGTATTCCCTCCTAGTCGCTTTCCTGCCCTCATTTCCGTCACTCTGGTGCAGCAGGCTCATTGCTGCCTTGGTGCCTTTGCCCATGCTCTTCCCTTTGCCCTGGTCATCTTCCCCCTCGATCTTCCATAGCTGATTTTGCTTTGTCTTCCAGCACAGTCTAAAATGCCAGTTCCTTAGAGAAGCCTTATCTTAATGTTTTTACCACTTCGCTTCCCACTCGTCTACCCCCAATATTTTCCATGGATTAACTATTTCTTTCTGTTATTTTCCCTTCTGTAAACTCTATAGTTCTGTTTTGTTTACCAGTGCATTTCAGCACCTATCCAATACCTGCCACATAGTAGGACATTAATAATATTTATTGAAGGATGAATAAATAGATGAATAAATGAAATAATTGCCACAAGGATTAAGTGGGGTAACAAATTAAAACATCTCCAAAAAGTGCTCGACACATAATAAATACTCCAGAAAGCCAGTTCCCTTTCCTTACTTTAGTTCAATAAACATTCTTTGGGCAGTAAATATTTATAGACAGTGTGGGTAGGTGCTAGATTTCCCATGATGACAATGGGAATCCAGGACATTAATTGACATGAACAAGCTGAAATGGTTAGGAAAGAAAAGGAGATAACTTATATTAATGCAATAGTTGTCCTTTGCTTTGATATTTTAAATGAGAACTAATGAATTATTATTATTTATAAGAAAGCCCAAATATAGCTTTATGAGCTTCTCTGTGTTCAGGTTTGTATTTCACTCTTGACAAAATATGATTTCCTAGTTCTATGAAAATAAGACTAAAGGGCTTTCTTCAACATTGCCTATAAAACATAATTTTAAAAATATTAAATTTTTTCTTCAAAAATTATGACTAGTTCTATTTCACTTGGGATGCTCAATCCTACAGAATCTATGAATGATTCAAAAGGAAATGTTTTTACTAATTTTATGTTTATTTCTATTGATTTTTTAAAAAAGAACAGTATAGCCAGACAATTCAAAATTAAATTTTGTATAATCTGCAAGAGATTGTATTGAATTTATAGAATAAATGCAAATTACTTTATCAAACATGTTTTGAGCACCTGCTACACATCAGACCTGGTGCTAGAGGGTGTGGGAAATTCAAAGATGAGCAAGAAACTGGTCTAACTTACGAGAAGCCCTCAGTCAATTAAGACATTAAGATAAGCCCACAAACGTTTACTTTATGAGATAAGGTAAGGGCCAAAGAAGTCTCACAGTGTTGTGGAAGCATGGAGGCTGAAGAATGGACTTCCTGTGTAGCTTCTGCATAGTGGAACTGGAAAAATGTCATCTGGGTAACTTTTTCTGGAAAAAATAATTTAATAACGAAGACAATTAGCTTAATAGGTAGATGGGTAAATTATGAATTTATGTCATCAGTTTTCCCCCTGAAGTCACATCTCTGTAAGGAAATCTGGATTGTAAGTGACAGAATGCCTAATTCAAAGTAGTGTAAGCAAAAGACAGAATCTATGGCTAATGTAAATGAAAACGCCAATGGAGGATCTTACTCAAACCGTGCTCTCAGAAGTGGTTTCTCCCCACTGATTGGCTCTGACTCCTGTTGTGTTGGTCTCATTCCCAGGGAGGCTCTTTGAGATCAGGGGATGGCTGCAGGAATTCCAGGTCTTGCATTCCCTACCTCCAGCCTCAAGTTCATGGCAAAAACCGAGAGCATCTTCTCTAGAAATCCCAGCAAAGGTTTCATGGCATCTTATGGCTCTGATCGGGTGTTTTAACCATCACTAAATAAATCACTAAGGACTGGGGAATGCAGTATGCTGATTTTCTCTGGCCAAACGGATCTACCTCTAGAGCTGGGAGTGGGTTCAACTCCAATCACACTACATGGGCTGGGAGTAAAATTCATGTGTGATTTACCAAAAGAAGGGTTAAAAGGTTTAGATGGCAGAAAGTGCTCTACATCTAACCAGGCAGAGCAATTGGTGAAGAATGTCTTAGAAGTGGTGATTAGAACAAAATAGTGAGGGAGGACATTATGCCACGTGAAATAAGCCAGCACAGCAATGACAAATACTGCATGATGTCACTTATATGTGGAATCTAAAATCATAGCAGTAGAGAATAGAATGATGTTTACTAGAGGCTGAGGGGGAGGTGGGAATGGGGAGAATTTGGTCAAGGGATACAAAGTTTCAATTAGGAGGAATACATTTTTTAGATCTATTGCATAGCATGGAAACTATAGTTAATAATAACATAATGTTTATTTCAAAATTCCTAAGGGAGTGAATTTAAAATGCTTATGCCACATACAAACGCAGATACATATGGGAGGTGGAAGATATGTTAATTAGCCCGATTTTATCATTCTATAATGTATGCATACATTAAAATATAACATCGTACTCCATACATTTATATAAATATTATTTAGTCAATTAGAAATTTAGAAAGAACAAAAAAGTGATGATTTTTCCAAATTGTTTTTACGTTAAAATGTGACTGGTGTACTCTGCTGCTGTTCCTCATCTTTAGTTTTCAAAATAATGCATTTTCTCCAATGTCAATTTATTAGACATTTGTTGAGGCCTCATATGGCTCAGAGTTGTGTTGGATGTATGTGGTATAATCATATTGTCTCTACTCTAAAAAGTTTGCTGTCCCCTGAAATAAGCAGGAAAAACAGAATCAGAAATTTCTAATGTTTCTGTTTTTCTTTTTAATGTGTTTTTGGGCAATATGAATGTCATATTGTTAATAAGTTGAAAAAGGGGCTCAATAAACCAATAAAGAAACTGATATTGGACTATATTAGTTGCCTCTAATATATGAGCTCTTCCAATATAATTAAGACAGTATCTATTTTTTAATCCAGCTGCCAAAGTAATCCTCTTAAAATATGGATACAATCAGTCATTTGCTTATGTGGTCACTTCCAAATTCCCAAGCATGGTTCTGTGTTGTGGTTTCATTCTCCACCACTTCCTGTTCAAACACTTGGTATTTCAGACCCGGTGAGCTCCGTAGGTCTCATATATGATTTCACATCTTGAGATCAGTGCACTTGCTGTTTCCTTTGTCTTAGTTTCTACATACCTCAGTTGCAGATCAAATGTCACCTCCTCTGTGGAGCCTTCTTTAAGTTTCTCACACAGACGTAGAAATTTCTTTTTTATCTTCCATAACATTGTATTAAGCTTATGCCTCTGCTGATAATTTATTCATTGCATTGTAGTGGGGCTTTTTTTTTTTTTGTCCATCTCCCACACTCTGGGACTACAAGCACCTTGGAAGTGTCTAATTTATTTATTTTTATTTCTCAGATTAAGTCAGGGCATGACACATAGATATTGGTTGAGGGTTGAAGGAATGTGAACAAAGACAGCCTGAAGGTTGTTGCAACAGAAGAGTTTTTAAATTTATTTCCCAGTAGAAACATATTTTGTTAACCATTTATCTGGGAAATGTGGTTAAATGAATGTTTAAACACATTTAAAATATATAGGCTTATTTTCAAGGTGGCTCAGCCCATTAAAAAATAAGTGGGGCCATTGATTGGAGTCATTTTAAGAAGCACCAAGATAGAGAGGGAGTGAAACTAGCAGGGCTGGAGAAGATCTGAGTTTCTTCTGTCTCACCTCCACAACTAACATGCTCTGTGACCTTTTTGTTAATTTTCAAACATCTCAGTTTCCTTATTTGAAAAATGGGGCCTAAGAAGGAGTAGCTCATCTGAGATGGATCACTCAGCCCTACATCATAGATAGAACCAAAGAAACTTTAGAGTTGTAAAGAACTCTAAGGTGATCTCCCCCAACTTTCTCCTTAGATATAGGAATCTGCTGATCAGCCCTCCCAGGAAATGATGTCTGACATCTAATTGAGGCCTCCAGGGGCAAGGCACTTATTTCCTCTAATGGCCCACACCCTTTCATTGGACAGTGCTCATGTTAGAAAATTCTCTACCCTGAGCTAAGATCTGCTTCCACTGTGTGACTTTACTCATTGATCTTGCTCAGTCCTCTGGAGTCACACAAATAAGTCAATTCCACATGTGCCCATGACAGCCCTTCAATCATTGTGAGCCAGCTGTCACAGCTCCCCTGGGCCTCATCTCCTTCAGATCGAATGGCCTAAGCTGCTTCAAGCATCCCTCAAGTCGTGGATACCGATGCCCTCACTATTCTGACCATTGTCCTTAGAACATGCTTCATTGCCCCTGTGTCAAAGCCCCTCTGGAACACAGCCAGATTCTCAGAAGTGTCTGATGCAGGCAGATCTCAGGGAGCCACGGTTTCCCTTGAGCAGAGCATTGCATGTCTTCCTTTACTGCCTAACAGCTTCACGATTTTAGATTTCTTCAGCCTCAGAATCCTGTTGGCTCAGGTTGTATTTCTGGTCAGTTGATGTTTGAAATATTTCATAGTTTAAAATAAAAATAACTTTGAAAATTCTCTGTCAATCTAAGTTATCCTTCCTTGCACATCCTTAAGCAATTCATTTTTTAACCCTAAATGGAAGTGTCTACATTTATCTGTTGCTCTGATTCTGTAAATTCCACAGCCCTATTAGGAAACACTTTGCAGAGTTGTGACCACAAGTAATGGTCCTAGGTTGAAGTATTGAACCAGGATCACCTTTGAGAATCTATTTACTGGTTCACTCCCTGGTCTCATTTACCTGGTTAGATGTGGACTGGCTTGGAAATCTACCTAGGCTCCCTACCCTGGCACTTCTTTCCCTTCACAACAGTGGACTCTCCACTCTTGTCAACGCTTCTTTTATTTGGTACTTATGTCAACAGTTAGAACTCTCACAATCAACCTCAATCTTCAAAACTGCTACTGCCCTGGGAAGCCACTTTATTCCTTCTTTATAACAGGGAACTAAGAGTGCATCTATCTATTCCTTTAAATTTTATCTTGTCTGTTTTCATCCTGTTGGTGAAGATATTTTTTGTTAATTTTAACTCCAACATCAAATATAGTCACAGTATTTTCCAGCTTTATATCACGTGAAAATGTGATCTTCTGGTTCCCATGTCTTCATCCAAGACCTCAATAAAGATGACAGATGGAACAATGGCAGAGACTTGTGGCCCATTACTGGAGACTTGCTTTAAGACTAGCATCCAGGCATTTATTCTGAACTCTGGACAGTTTAATCAGCTGCAACTTTCCCCAAAGTTATCATTAGAAAGCTCACATTCCTCGATTTGCCATCTTCTTAATTGAAGTGGCATCCGTGTCAGCTACTGAGTTAGGTCTGAGCATAAGATAGTAAATAAGGCATAATCACTTCCTAAATTTGCTAAAGTTTTGACCTAGAAAACAGATTTTCACAGGGTTCACCCTAATTCAGTATGGTGTTACAGGTTCTCTGATAGAATTGAATACAGCGACTTGAGGAAATACATATTATGGGAGCCCAGTCTAGTCTTGGGGTAGGTGGTGAAGTGGAGTCATAGGGAGAAGCTTTTCAGAAGCAATAATATCTGTCCTGAGGCCTGAAGGAGGAACAAGAGTTGGGAGGATGGGGGAAAGGGAAAAAGCAGGAGAAATAATGTACCATGGGAATGCTGCTGGAGCTCTGAGAAGATGCAGGTGCATTATGATTCTGGAACAGGTAGCTGCTCAGTATATGCTAATTAAGATGGATTTAACCTTATGACTCCATCAGAAAAAAGGAAGTGAATTAAAAATAATAGATGAATGAGGCTAAAACCCTTTAAGTACCAAAACACCAGAGAAGAAAGCTGTTTCTAGTTCGAGAGAACTCAAGGAAAGAGGCTTTAGAGGAAAAATGAGCTGCTTAGAGTTAAGTAAGGATAGCAAATGACACACTTGATTTCAAATGTGAAATTGCTAAAATAAACCTTATAAGAAAGAATCTCATCAAGAATTTTAAAGAGAGAAGCACCTTCTTTGATGTGATCTATCTGATTTGGTATGTCACATCCAGTGGAGTGAATGCAGTGTGTGAGATGATATCACTTTTGGTTGGAGAGTCCTGTGCAGAATTCAACTCCTCACCTTCACAGCCCAGGCCTTTCCATGCTTCTGAAGTCTGAATACGTGCACTTTGTCCTGCCATTAGATGACTCTATCTATGTCTTAAATTCTCCACAAGAAGTGGTACCATGTTGTGGTGTTGACTATAAAGCTTATCATCAGGGAATCTGGATTTGAGTAGGCCCACCCTACCGCATCCTGTGTTGTGTGTTGTAGCTATTGCAGAATATTGAGGGTTGTTGTCCCCACAACTGTCACACTATTGCTTTTTTTTGTTTTAGCTCTTAGACAGATATGCCACCAAACCCAGAATTAGAAAAGAGTGATGTTTCTAGCTCCTTATTTTCTTTATTTTCCCGTAAGAATTTGCTAAGTGCTCACCAGAGTCTAGATACTATGCTTGTCCCGGGACAACAGGATGAATTAAATAGAATCTTAGAATAATTGTAATGCCTTGTAAATATAGCCACAGTGGCACATACCAGGTAACAAATGGAGAGTATTATTTGCCTGGTCAAAGATGGTGGAAGAGGCACAGTTAGAGGCAGGAATCACGTAGGGACAGAGTTTCAAATTTTGGGCATGAACTCAATGAAGAGACATAAGCAGCCATGTAACCATGCTCCAAACACCACTTCCTACATTACTTCTGGAATGCGCTTTCATTAAGTATGCTGTTTCTTAAAAGCATCTCACTCCTGGGCATTGGGACAAATACATGATTCTTGAATATAATGTGTCTTGATTTATTTCCTATCTTTTCAGCAACAAAAAAGTAATAATTCTATGCTTTTAAAAAACGAGTTTAAGATTATATAGTGGCAGAAAGATTTTTAAAATCCCACCCAGATGAATAGAAATTCCACAATAAAGAGTATATTTAGATAGCAAAACCATTTAGGAGCAAGTTGTTGAATATTAAATGATGCCGAGAAAAGACACATCTGCCTTTGAAGTTTGAAAATATCACTTCATATGCTTTATGGAGCTTAAACTATTTGAATAAAAATGAAATATCTCTTGGCTGGAAAAGATATCCCTGTGGTCTGATATTATTTCCTTAGGACCACAACCGAGAGGGAAAAGGAGGCAACTCGGAAGGCAGTTTTTTTTTCGTCTGTATTTCCTGCTGGGTGAGATGCTGAGAAGAAAACCAGGAAAGAGGATGTGGGGCAAAGTTTTGCTTAAGCGGGGGAACAAAAAGCAAAGCTTAGAGTGTGTGACAAGAATTTTTCTCCAGGAGATTAGTAGTTACATTCTTTGTAATCTCTCTCTGTCTTTCTACGTTTTCTAAACTGTGCAAGTCTCTCCTCAAGGGCAGGATTTAAATTACACAGTTGTTTTTTTTTTTTTAAGAGCAACATTGATTTAGCCTAAGTCTGTTTGGCATAGCTTAAAAATGTTGCTCTGCTAGGACTTTAATGATGACACTGCTGAAATATTTTGCAATACTAGGAGATTATATTCTATACAAATTGGGCATGATTCTAAAATTTCATCGTTTTTGCCAATTTTTATGCCCCAAAGACTCAAAGTCATTTGTCAAATAGTCTTGTATGTCTTACTGCAAAAACTAATTAGAAAACTGTAGTTATTTGGGAATGGCTAAAAAAAAAGAATGTATAACATTTAATGTAATGTCAACAAGTTTTTTTTAGATCTCTCACTGAATATATTTTAGTTTTTTGCTTTACTAATGAAAAATATTTTAACAATAAATCTAAACGTTCTCAGAAAAAGGTCTAACAGCTTTTAGAGAGAAAGCAAACAAAAATGAGTTAGACCTCAAATGAAAAGGTCAAAAGAAACAGGTTTGGTGAAAACATTTATCCATATTAAGTGAGTTTTCATTTAGAGAAATACATTGAGAAATGTTCAAAATGTTTTCTGGGAATTTTTGTTTGTTTCTGAGACAAGGTCTCAGTCTGTGGCCCAGGCTGGAGTAAAGTGGCATGATCGTAGCTCACTATAACCTTAACTCCTAGGCTCAAGCAATGTTCCTGCCTCAACCTCCCAAGTACCTAAAACTGTAGGCACATACCACTGTACTTGGCTAATTTTTAAAATTTATTTTTTGTGAGGTAGGGTCTCCCTCCGTTGGCCAGGCTGGTCTCAAACTCCTGCCCTGGATCCATCCTCCCACTTTGGGCTCCCAAAGTGCTAGGATTACAGGTGTGAGCCACTGTGCCCAGCTGTTTTCTGGGAGTTTCATTAATTCTTGATGTCTTATCAGCAGTCAATTTATTTACAGAGTTGTGCCTTTGGGTCACTTTTGAAAGGCCTGGAAGCTGTTTGCAGATTGGGCTCAGAGTAAGGAAGATTACCAGAACTGGGCCCTGTGTCCTTGCCCATCAGCAGGCACCAGGACTCTGTCCTAACCACTGCTGTCAATGACACCCCCACCTCAGGGGGATTAGGAGTAGAATGGACTTGAGAAGGAAGTTCTAGAAACCCAGCTTCAAATCCCAGTTCTCTACCAAACACACACAGGTGCTCCATCCTAGAGGACTCTGGGAGGTGCCCTTCCTGTCTAATCACTCTTAGCAGCTCCCACAGCCTTCATTTCCTCATCCTCACTCATTCCTTTATAGTTTAAAATCTGGCTGCCACTCTCTGAAATCTTTACTTGAAAGTTGGCCAGGCTTTTTTATTCCTCAAAGCAATAGCCCTCACTATGTCCTTGGGCTCCATGTTGTCCATGGTTGGCAGCATCTCTCCTTCCCACGCTGGACTCCTTCTCTTCCTAAGGCCTGTGGGAAACCTTGCCATCCTCAATTTCTTCCTCCCTCCCACTTCTCCTTTCTTCCTTTTCCTATCCCCTCAGGCAGGCAGTTACTGGAGCTTTGATTCTCAGATCTCTTCTTTCTGGCCTCTTCAACATCAATCTTTACTTCTATCATTACAAATATTGGGTATTGATTGTGAACGGTTCTGAAATTTCTGTCTCCAGTCCCAACTCTCCCTTGATTATTTTATATCTCCACATGGATGCCCCACTGACAGCTCAAGCACAACAGATCTCAAACTGAATTTATCATCTCTCTTTTCCAAACTAGCTCTTCCTCTTGACTTCCTTGTGTCTACTGACACCATCATCATGAAACTACATAAGCCTTTTGAATTCTTCCTGCTGCTTCCTTCAATAGTTTTCACAGTGTCTGTTTCTTCTTTTTTTTAAAACATAAATTATTTATTTATTTATTTATTTTTATCATACTTTAAGTTCTAGGGTACATGTGTACAACGTTCAGGTTTGTTACATAGGTATACATGTGCCATGTTGGTTTGCTGCACCCATTAACTCATCATTCATATTATGTATTTCTCCTAATGCTACCATTTCCCCAGCCCCCCAACCCCGACAGGCCCCAGTGTGTGATGTTCCCCTTCCTGTGTCCAAGTGTTCTCATTGTTCAATGACTGCCTATGAGTGAGAACATATGGTGTTTAGTTTTCTGTCCTTCTGATAGTTTGCTCAGAATGATTTCCAGCTTCATCCATGTCCCTACAAAGGACATGAACTCATCCTTTTTTATGGCTGCATAGTATTCCACGGTGTATATGTGCCACATTTTCTTAATCCAGTCTATCGTTGATAGACATTTGGGTTGGTTCGAAGTCTTTGCTATTGTGAATAGTGCTGCAGTAAACATATGTGTGCATGTGTCTTTATAGTAGCATGATTTATAATCCTTTGGGTATATACACAGTGATGGGATCACTGGGTCAAATGGTATTTCTAGTTCCAGATCCTTGAGGAATTGCCACACTGTCTTCCACAATGGTTGAACTAGTTTACACTCCCACTAGCAGTGTAAAAGCATTCCTATTTCTCTACATCCTCTCCAGCATCTGTTGTTTCCTGACTTTTTAATGATTGCCATTCTAAGTGGTGTGAGGTGGTATCTCATTGTGGTTTTGATTTGCATTTCTCTGATGACCAGTGATGATGAGCATTTTTTCATGTGTCTGTTGGCTGCATAAATGTCTTCTTTTGAGAAGTGTCTGTTCATATCCTTTGACCACTTGTTGATGGGGTTTTTCTTTCTTGTAAATTTGTTTAAGTTCTTTGTAGATTCTGGATATTAGCCCTTTGTCAGATGGGTAGATTGCAAAAAATTTTCTCCCATTCTGTAGGTTGTCTGTTCACTCTGATGGTGTTTTTTCTTTCTTTTCTTTTCTTTTTTTTTTCTTTTTTTTTTTTTTTTTTTTTTTTTTTTTTTTTTTTGCTGTGCGGAAGCTCTTTAGATTGATTAGATCCCATTTGTCTATTATGGCTTTTGTTGCCATTCCTTTTGGTGTTTTAGTCATGAAGTCCTTGCTCATACCTATGTCCTGAATGGTATTGCCTAGGTTTTCTTCTAGGTTTTTTATGGTTCTAGGTCTACCATGTAAATCTTTAATTCACCTTGAATTAATTTTTGTATAAAGTGTAAGGAAGGGATCCAGTTTCAGCTTTCTATGTACGACTAGCCAGTTTTCCCAAAACCATTTATTAAATAGGGAATCCTTTCCCCATTGCTTGTTTTTGTCAGGTTTGTCAAATATCAGATGGTTGTAGATGTTTGGTGTTATTTCTGAGGCCTCTGTTCTGTTCTATTGGTCTATATCTCTGTTTTGGTACCAGTACCATGCTGTTTTGTTTACTGTAGCCTTGTAGTATAGTTTGAAGTCAGGTAGTGTGATGTCTCCAGCTTTGTTCTTTTTGCTTAGGATTGTCTTGGCAATGCGGACTTGTTTTTGATTCCATATGAACTTTAAAGTAGTTTTTTTCCAATTCTGTGAAGAAAGTTAATGGTAGATTTATGGGGTTGGCATTGAATCTATAAATTACCTTGGACAGTCTGGCCATTTTCAAGATATTGATTCTTCCTATCCATGAGCATGGAATGTTCTTCCATTTGTTTGTGTCCTCTTTTATTTTGTTGAGCAGTGGTTTGTAGTTCTCCTTGAAGAGGTCCTTCACATCCCTTTTAAGTTGGATTCCTAGATATTTTATTCTGTTTGTAGCAATCGTGAATGGGAGTTCACTGACGATTTGGCTCTCTGTTTGTCTGTTATTGGTGTATAGGAATGCTTGTGATTTTTGCACATTGATTTTGTATCCTGAGACTTTG
This sequence comes from Homo sapiens, assembly GCF_000001405.40. Taxonomy (NCBI): domain Eukaryota; kingdom Metazoa; phylum Chordata; class Mammalia; order Primates; family Hominidae; genus Homo; species Homo sapiens. The sequence continues at coordinate 18,141,016 of NC_000002.12, forward strand.
CTGAAGTTGCTTATCAGCTTAAGGAGATTTTGGGCTGAGACGATGGGGTTTTCTAAATATACAATCATGTCATCTGCAAACAGGGACAATTTGACTTCCTCTTTTTCTAACTAAATACACTTTTTTTCTTTCTCTTGCCTGATTGCCCTGGCCAGAACTTCCAACACTATGTTGAATGGGAATGGTGAGAGAGGGCATCCCTGTCTTGTGCCAGTTTTCAAAGGGAATGCTTCCAGTTTTTGCCCATTCAGTATGATATTGGCTGTGGGTTTGTCATAAATAGCTCTTATTATTTTGAGATACGTCCCATCAATACCTAGTTTATTGAGAGTTTTTAGCATGAAGCACTGTTGAATTTTGTCAAAGGCCTTTTCTGTATGTATTGAGATAATCGTGGTTTTTGTCGTTGGTTCTGTTTATGTGATGGGTTATTTTTATTGATTTGCGTATGTTGAACCAGCCTTGCCTCCCAGGATGAAGCCAACTTGATCGTGATGGATAAGCTTTTTGATGTGCTGCTGGATTCGGTTTGCCAGTATTTTATTGAGGATTTTTGCATCAATGTTCATCAGGGATATTGGTCTGAGATTCTTTTTTTGCTGTGTCTCTGCCCGGCTTTGGTATCAGGATGATGCTGGCCTCATAAAATGAGTTAGGGAGGATTCCCTCTTTTTCTATTGTTTGGAATAGTTTCAGAAGGAATGCTACCAACTCCTCTTTGTACTTCTTGTAGAATTCAGCTGTGAATCCGTCTGGTTCTGGACTATTTTTGGTTGGTATTGCCTCAATTACAGAGCCTGCTATTAGTCTATTCAGAGATTCAACTTCATGGGTTAGTCTTGGGAGGGTGTATGTGTCCAGGAATTTTCCATTTCTTCTAGATTTTCTAGTTTATTTGTGTAGAATTGTTTACTGTATTCTCTGATGGTAGTTTGTATTTCTGCGGGATTGGTGGTGATATCCCCTTTATCATTTTTTTTTCAACTATTTGATTTTTCTCTGTTTTCTTCTTTATTAGTCTTGCTAGTGGTCTATCAATTTTGTTGATCTTTTCAGAAAGCCAGCTCCTGGATTCATTGATTTTTTTGAAGGACTTTTCATGTCTCTCTCTGCTTCAGTTCTGCTCTGATCTTAGTTATTTCTTGCCTTCTGCTAGCTTTTGATTTTGTTTGCTCTTGCTTCTCTAGTTCTTTTAATTGTGATGTTAGGGTGTCGATTTTAGATCTTTCCTGCTTTCTCCTGTGGGCATTTAGTGCTATAAATTTCCCTCTACACACTGCTTTAAATGTGTCCCAGATTTTCTGGTATGTTGTGTCTTTGTTCTCATTGGTTTCAAAGAACATCTTTATTTCTGCCTTCATTTCGTTATGTACCGAGTAGTCATTCAGGAGCAGGTTGTTCAGTTTCATGTAGTTGTGTGGTTTTGAGTGAGTTTCTTAATCCTGAGTTCTAATTTGATTCCATTGTGATCTGAGAGACAGTTTGTTGTGATTTCTGCTCTTTTACATTTGCTGAGGAGTGCTTTACATCCAACTATGTGGTCAATTTTGGAATAAGTGTGATGTGGTGCTGAGAAGAATGTATATTCTGTTGATTTGGGGTAAAGAGTTCTGTAGATGTCTATTAGGTCTGCTTGGGGCAGAGCTTAGTTCAAGACCTGGATATCCTTGTTAATCTTCTGTCTCATTGATCTGTCTAATTTTGACAGTGAGGTGTTAAAGTCTCTCATTATTATTGTGTGGGAGTCTAAGTCTCTTTGTAGATCTCTAAGAACTTGCTTTATGAATCTGGGTGCTCCTGTATTGGGTGCATATATATTTAGGATAGTTAGATCTTCTTGTTGAATTGATCCCTTTACCATTATGTAATGGCCTTCTTTGTCTCTTTTGATCTTTGTTGTTTTAAAGTCTGTTTTATCAGAGACTAGGATTGTAACCACTGATTTCTTTTGCTGTCCATTTGCTTGGTAGATCTTCCTCCATCCCTTTATTTTGAGCCTAGGTGTGTCTCTGCACATGAGATGGGTTTCCTGAATACAGCACACTGATGGGTCTTGACTCTTTATCCAATTTGCCAGTCTGTGTCTTTTAATTGGAGCATTTAGCCCACTAACATTTAAGGTTAATATTGTTATGTGTGAATTTGATCCTGTCATTATGATGTTAGCTGGTTATTTTGCTCATTAGTTGATGCAATTTCTTCCTAGAATCAATGGTCTTTACAATTTGGCATGTTTTTTGCAGTGGCTGATACTAGTTGTTCCTTTCCATGTTTAGTGCTTCCTTCAGGAGCTCTTGTAAGGCAGGCCTGGTAGTAACAAAATCTCTCAGCATTTGCTTATCTGTAAAGGATTGTATTTCTCCTTTGCTTATGAAGCTTAGTTTGGCTGGATATGAAATTCTGGGTTGAAAATTCTTTTCTTTAAGCATGTTGAATATTGGCCCCCACTCTCTTCTGGCTTGTAGGGTTTCTGCTAAGAGATCCACTGTTAGTCTGATAGGCTTCCCTTTGTGGGTAACCCAACCTTTCTCTCTGGCTGCCTTTAACATTTTTTTCCTTTATTTCAACCTTGGTGAATCTGACAATCATGTGTCTTGGGGTTGCTCTTCTCAAGGAGTATCTTTGTAGTGTTCTCTGTATTTCCTGAATTTGAATGTTGGCCTACCTTGCTGGGTTGGGGATGTTCTCCTGGATAATATCCTGCAGAGTGTTTTCCAGCTTGGTTCCATTCTCCCCGTCACTTTCAGGTACACCAGTCAAATGTAGATTTGGTGTTTTCACATAGTCCCATGTTTCTTGGAGGCTTTGTTCATTTCTTTTTACTATTTTTTCTCTAAACTCCTCTTCTTGCTTTGTTTCATTAATTTGATCTTCAATCACTGATACCCTTTCTTCCACTTGATCAAATCGGCTATTGAAGCTTGTGCATGTTTCATGTAGTTCTCGTGCCATCGTTTTCAGCTCCATCAGGTCATTTAAGGTCTTCTCTACACTGTTTATTCTAGTTAGCCATTCATCTAATCCCTTTTCAAGTTTTTTAGCTACCTTGTGATGGGTTCGAACATCCTCCTTTAGCTCAGAGAAGTTTGTTATTATCGACCTTCTGAAGCCTACTTCTGTCAACTCGTCAAAGTCATTCTCTGTCCAGCTTTGTTCCGTTGCTGGTGAGGAGCTGCGATCCTTTGGAGGAGAAGAGTTGCTCTGGTTTTTAGAATTTTCAGCTTTTCTGCTCTGATTTCTCCCCATCGTTGTGGTTTTATCTACCTTTAGTGTTTGATGTTGGTGACCTACATACAGGGTTTGGGTGTGGATGTCCTTTTTGTTGATATTGATGCTATTCCTTTCTATTAGTTAGTTTTCCTTCTAACAGTCCTGTCCTTCAGCTGCAGGTCTGTTGGAGTTTGCTGGAGGTCCATTCCCGATGCTGTTTGCCTGGGTATCACCAGCGGAGGCTGCAGAACAGCAAATATTGCAGAACAGCAAATCTTGGAGCCTGATCCTTCCTCTGGAAGCTTTGTCCCAGAGGGGCACCCAGCTGTATGAGGTGTCAGTCAACCCCTACTGGGAGGTGTCTCCCAGTTAGGCTACACAGGGTTCAGGGACCCACTTGAGGAGGCAGTCTGTCTGTTCTTAGAGCTCAAACACCATGCTTAGAGGAACACTGCTCTCTTCAGAGCTGTCAGACAAGGACATTTAAGTCTGCAGAAGTTTCTGCTATCTTCTGTTCAGCTATGCCCTGCCCCCAGAGGTGGAACCTACATAGGCAGCAGGCCTTGCTGAGCTGCAGTGGGCTCCACCCAGTTCAAGCTTCCCTGCCCACTTTGTTTACCTACTGAAGCCTCAGCAATGGCAGATGATCCTCCCCCTGCTGCCTCGCAGATCGATCTCAGACTGCTGCACTAGAAGTGAGCAAAGCTTCTTGGGCATGAGACCCATCAAGCCAGGCATGGGATATACTCTCCTGGTGTGCTGTTTGCTAAGCCCATCAAAGAAGCGCAGTATTTGGGCAGGAGTGTCCCATTTTTCCACGTACAGTCTGTCATGGCTTCCCTTGGCTAGGAAAGGGAAATCCCCCGACCCCTTGCACTTCCCAGGTGAGGCGATGCCCTGCCCTGCTTTGGCTCGCCCTCCGTGGGCTGCACCCGCTGTCCAACCAGTCCCAATGAGATGAACCAGGTACCTCAGTTGGAAATGCAGAAATCACCCATCATCTCTGTGCATCATGCTGGGAGCTGCAAACTGGAGCTGTTCCTATTCGGCCATCTTGGAAGGGACCTGTTTCTTCTTTATAATCTGTTTCACAGATTCCCCCACCCCATCTGGTTTAATTGATTTTTTTTTTTTCAGGAAGCCAAGTATAATCTTTGATCCATACAAGTCACCCAGCCACTTTCAAATCACTTGGAGAGTAACTATTACATTTCAAATATTTCAACTTAAAAGGTCCTTCTACAATAATTTATTTGCTTTTTGTTCATGTTCCAGAGATGCATTTAGTTACTTTGTGTGTTCTTATACATTCTGCATCAGAATTTGAAACAATGTAATAATCAAAAGGTTGTTAAAATACTCTATTTTTCTTAAGGTCATTGCTGAGAATTAAGTTAATGTGAATATAATTTAAAGTATTTTGTATTTTTGCATACATATGATATATAAATGTGTACATAATATACATTACATATATTTATCATACCTATCTATATCAGGATTTGAAAATATATAGAGATATTCAAAACCCTTCTTCTATGTTTAACTAAAGGTTATTCTATAAGTTGTAATGTTTTTGAATTATATTTAAAGACTGAAGGGCATCCAAAGATGCTAGATATTTTTCTAAACTATATCCTTAACAAGAAGTTAAAACATCACTATGCCTTCCTAACATATTTAAACAATTATTTATTTTTTGCTCTTATTTTTTATTTTGATATAATTTCAGGCTTACAGAAAAGTTACAAAAGTAATACGAAGAATTTCTGGATAATGAGGCTTCAATCCATATTCTTAAAATGTTATCATTCATGGTTTCTCTCTCTTTTCTTTCTTCATATTCACACTATATATTTTCTGGTGACTTTAAGAGTACATTGCAGACATATGCATTTTTATGCCTAAATACTTCAATGTGTTTTCTAAATAGCAAATAATTATTTTATACAAACATAGTATGGTAATCAAAATCATCTCCTTTAATTTGTTTAAAGTTTATATTTTCATTATGCACATGATGTCTTATTTCATGCACATGATGAAAATATAATAGCGTGAAAGTGCTTGGAATGAAAACAATAGTTTTCTCCACTCCAGTTCTACTTACTAGAACTGGGAAACACTAATTATTTCAATTTTTAATCTTTAAAGTAATTTTGACCCTAATCCTAAATAACACATTGACTTTTACCATTATTTCTTGGATGCGTCATTTATCTAATAAATATTTGTGGTCCTATTTGTATGTGCCTGGCCCTGGTCTTACAATCTATATCTTTTTCCCTTGCCAGGAAAGATGAGGATACTCAGTGAATGTGCATTTTTATTTCTCCTTTCCTCCCCAACTTTTGATAGTTTGTTTCATTTACTTGATTATATTTGTATCTTTATATAATATATCTAAATAAAAATAGAAATAATGTACTAGTATTTTTACCTAAATATTGTTCAGTGCAGACCCCCATAATGTACTGGAGTTATATTTCCTTATCTATGGCCTGTTTGTTATTTAAAGGGGAACGGAACAGTTCTAACACCTAGGTCAAATAGTTTTTCTTTTATTATAATCTAGTATTTTCAGTTTGTTTCATGTTTGAACAATGGCTTTTTCAACATAATTTCCTATTGCCTTTTTTTCTTAAGAGAAAAAACATGCTTTCTTCACCATTTTATTAAAATAATGTATGCCTTTAATAATTTCACCTGTTACTTAGAAAGTGTCTACTTTTTGAGAAGATGGATTTGTGGAGCTCACTGATTTCCTGTTTTAATTTAAACTGATAATTTTCTAGTCCTGTTGCAGAGCTGTCATATGGAGCTATTTTTAATCTACACATGGCTGACATATTTGAAATATCTCATATCTTTCTCTTTTTTTGGACTTAGTACTATTATATTAGAAAATCCACTCATGCAACTTCTTCAGAAAGGGTATTTTGAAAATAAGCTTACTGATATCTTGATATTTGCCGTGAAAATGACCTCCTTGGCCCTTGCACTTGGAGTGTAGAACCCTAGCTTCCAAGCCATTTTGTCTTATGGTCCTTGGTATTTGTGATAAGACATTTAGTGAAAGTCCTTCAAACAAATTATATATTTTTATATAATTTGTTTTTCTGGAAGCATTTATGAGCTTCTGATTATCACTGGTATTTCAAAATTTAACAAAAGTGTTTTAGGTGTGGGTCTTTGAAAAATACAACCGAGTTTGTCTTTGTTGTGCCTTCTAATCTGAAGACGTGTGTCTCTCTTTTCCCCTCTTTCACTCCAGTGATAATTTTCTCAATTCTTTTTTCTGTGTTCTTTTTCAAACTTTTATTGAGCAGATTTTGGATCTCAGTGGTTAAGTTGGAATTCGTTTCTTAGAATCCCCTTCCCTTGCGCGTTCTGGGTTAGATTTGGCCAAATGAGGAGTTACTTGAGACTTGGAAGGCTGACATAAAGCACTAGCATTGCCCTCTGAGGGCTGTTGTGCTTAGCTGTGGTGACAGACAGACTCTCTGTCTGTAGGTTCCACCTTTTTCTTGCTCTCTTCTGCTATGTCCCCAGCTCTTTCTCCTGATCATTGACTCTGTCACCTACAGTGGCCCCAAGCCCACACCCAGACACATGGCAGCAGACTCACTAGTAGTGCAGCCAAGGAGCAAAGTGGAGGCCCAGTTACCCAGACACCTCTCCAAGATCCTTTCCTCTGAAGTCTTGTTTTGATGGCTGAGCGTGGTTAGCTTCTTCTCAGGTTGACTGCTCTTGTCTTCAAGATCCTCTTCTAGATTTTAATTTCCCCTACAAGTTCTTTCTGCAGTTGGGTAAGATTTAATACCTACATCAAGTCTCTTATCCCATAATACATAGTATCTCTGCTTCCTAATTAAAATGTCTAATTACAACCTCCTAAATTAATCTTCTATATATCTCAATGTTTTCTTAAATTTTTAATTTTTTTCTGCCTTATTATCTGGAGCTTTTCTTGACTTGATGTTGAAATTCCTAGAATTATTTCTTATTCTCTATTGCAATTTTATACCATCCTGTACTACCTTCTAGAATTTCTTTGAGAATCCTAGTTAAAGCAGCTTTTCTTTTTAATATTCTGAACTATCTTTATTTTCATGGGATCAGTTATTCTCTCTATTTATCTTGATCTTCCTTCTTCATGCTGGTAGTGTCTTTCTAATGACTGGAGATCTGAAGTAATCGTTTCATAAGGTAGTTGGTTTTCTCCATTTTATTGGCAGATTAGTTTTCTCTTCAGATACCTTTGCTCCTATAGGCATATTCACTTACTTTTATTCCAGGGGCCCTCTGGAAGACAGAGACACGAATGCATGTGCTCAGATGCCATCAGGGACAGGAACTGTTAATCAATTCTTTGTCATGTGGCTCTGGCCTGTGTTTTCTTTTCCATCTTCTCCCCAACATTATAATTGAGTTCATCTATCATACTTGGTTTTTGCTTCCATTTTTCCTTTTTAAATTATATCCTAAACTTTTATTGAAAGATTAATCTTCTTTTAGTGTTGCTTCAGTTATAAGAACTTTCTCAAAATATTCCATGGTTGCCAGTTGCCTTCAAAGTTAATGTCGAACTTCTTAAGCTTTCAGGGCCCTTAGAGATTTGCTCTGAAACTGCCTTCCCATGATTATCTCCCTCATTTATTTTCACACTTTGGGAAACTGAGTGGGTCACCCTTCCCTGATGATGGTAATTCCTACCTCTATTCTTGCCTTGATTTTTCTTCGTTTATTAGGATCTCTTCCACATACCTATCAAAACTTGATCCTTTTTAGACATCTGCTCCAATATCACTTTCCCATCATCTTCTGGCTATTATCTTCATTTTAACCTGCTATCATGCTTTTTTGAGAGCATTTTGCTGCAGAGATAATATCCTGTCTGATATAATAACTATTTAGTGTTTTTTTCTCCCATGTTAGAAAGAAATTTCCTTTAAGTCAAGGGCCCTATTTTAACTTCTATTTTCTCTCCAAAACACCATGCATGGGATATAGCAGGTATTCAGTGAATATGAATTTACTTAGATAAAACTTTGCATTTTTAAGTATCTCTACATTTCAGTTTCCTGCAAAATAAGCATAATTATTGCCCTGTGTTACTGGGACCTCCCTTTTAGAAGAGAAAGCTATGAGGCCATAAGAAGATTTGTGTAAAGGCCTCTGTCATATTATAGAGTCATTCATTTGGATTCCCAGGAAGTAGTAATGTGTGTAATTCTGTTTTGTGTAAGAACTTTTCTGCGTACTTATATGTCTTAATCAGTTTTCTGTTGCTTATAACAGAACACCTGAACCTGGGTAATTTATAAAGAAAATGCATTTATTTCTTATTACTCTAGAGGCTGAGAAGTCCAAGGTTGAAGGGCCATCTGGTAAGCACCTTCTTGCTTGTGGGGGACTCTCTGTAGAGTCCTGAGGTGGTTCAGGTTATCACATGGTGAAGGGTCTAAGCATGTAATGTGCTAGCTCAGGTATTTCTTTTTTTTCTTATAAAGGCACCAGTTCCATTTTCATGATAACCCAATAATACATTAACCCATTAATCCGTTAATTCGTAAGTGGATTGATTCTTTCATGAGGGCAGAGCCCTTAAAGGCCCACTTCTCAATACTGCCACCTAGAGGATTAAGCTTCAACATGAGTTTTGGAAGGGATATTCAAATCATGGCAATATATTGCCTGACAAGCAATTCTGCTTTACATCCTTCGTGATTTCCCATAAATCTCTGAGGTCTTACTTTATTTCCAAAGGAGAAAGCTACTAGTCTCTAGAAAAAGTGTCTGATGCCTTGACTCATTTGCTTTGTAGAGTATTTTTGCTAGAAACCATAGTCTTACAAGAAGAGAGCAGAACTCACTATGTTCTTAACTTTGGTGTCAAATGAGGATTGTTTCAATCAAAGTCATAAAATTAAATAAACACTTTATTGGCAAAATGGCAAATATGCTATTCTTCCAAATGACTATAGCAATATAGTCCAAAGGACTAAGCTTCCAAATGACTAAAGCAATTTTCTTGCTTTGAACTTTCCATCCTGAGTCTTCACATTGATTAATTCACTCATTTATTCATGCAAAAATATCTCCTATGCATGTATCAGGCATAATTGTTAGAATGATGACTAAGGCACAGACCTAACCCTTAGGGAGCACACTGCCTATGGGGAGGACAGTCAATTAAAATGCAATCAAAGGGACATAGGACCAATGTTACGTTACCAGGAAACAGGCGAGGACAAAGGAGACTAAACTCAGCCAGAGAGTCTTAAAAAGTGATACCTACTCCACATTATCACTAAAATAGGAATTTTGATTGAAACTCTAGGGGTTGGCCTCAGAATTATAGCTACTTTCTTATCTATAATGAGCATTTGTGACTACTTTTGTTATATATATTCCTATGTGGAAAAAGGTTAAGTTTGTGTATTTTGCATGGGATGATAGTTTGGACTCCTACCATGTAATCTCAGCCTGTTCTTGGGAAATATTATAGACAAGTAGTTCTCAAAATGTATTAGAATCACTTAGGGGCTTAAAATGTCCAGACTCTACCCACCCCTAGAAAGCCTGGTTAATTGGTCTAAGGCAGAGATGGTGTTTTTCAGAAGCTTCTCCACATAATTGTAATATGCAGAATTTGTGATAGAATTCTGCCTCCAGATAAAATTGTAAAATGATCCTGCTGAAATGGCCCTTAGAAATCAGCCAGTGCAACTTCTATTTCCTATGTTAGAGAACTGGGTTGTGGTTTGTATTCCTTGGAAGGTATTTGTTATGGGTTGAAGTGGATCCTCCTAAAATTATTGATGTTGAAGTCCTAACCCCCAGTACCCCAGGATGTGACCTTATTTGGAAACAGGCTTCTATTAGTTCGTTCTTGCAATGCTGTGGAGAAATATCTGAGACTGGATAATTTAAAAAGAAGAGATTTAGTTGGCTCATGGTTCCACAGGTTGTACAGGCAGCACAGTGGCTTCTTCTAAGGAGGCCCCATCAAGCTTCTCGTCATGGTGGAAAGCAGAGGGGCAACAGATGTCTCATATGGTGGAAGCAGGAGCAAGAGAAAGAGTGAAGGGAGAGGTGCCACACATTTAAACAACCAGATCTCGTGAGAACTCATTCACCATCTTGTGAACAGCATCAAGAGGATGGTGCTAAACCATTTCATGAGAAATCCATCTCTATGATGCAATCACCTTCCACCAGTCCCTACATCCAACACCGGGGATTACAATGCAATATGAGATTTGTGTGGGGACACAGATCCAAACCATATCAAGGCTCATTTCAGATATAATTAGTTAAGGAGGTGGACTCTTAATCCAATATGACTGGTGTTCTTATTAAAGAGGGAAGGTTGGACTCAGAGATATGCACACAGGGGAACGTCATGTGAAGATTAGAATTCTGCCACAAAGCCAAGGAACTACCAAAAGGTTGGAGAGAGGCTTGGCACATACCCTTCCCCAGCACCTTCAGAGGGGGCATAGCCCTGCCGACAACCTGATTTTGGACTTCTGGCCTCCAGAACCTTTAGACATTGAATCTCTCTTGTATAAGTCATTCAGTTTGTGGTACTCTGTTAAGGCAGCCCCAGCAAACTCATACAGGATCTTTAACATGAACTTAGCCCTACCCTGGTCAACATGGCTATTCTCACTCCTAATGTGGTGAATGGGTTGCCCACTTCCTATTTTCCTCTCCATGATAGCCAGTGAAGGCAGGTCACAGGTCCCTGCTTATCTGAGGGAGGAGGGTGCGAGTGTATGTGGCCTGGGCAGCTGGGCGACTCTACCATGACCAAGGCCTTCTCTTGACACAGTCTGATTTGCCACTGCTGCAGCCAGGGACAGAGTGCTCTGCCCCCATGGAGAATTTACAAATGCATTTTGCTATCATTTGTAAAGCATGTCTCAGAAACAAGATTGCCAGTTAATATGAAATCTGTTTATATAGAATTAATGTCTTTATGATTGTGTGCATGTGTATGTGTGTATATGTGTGCATGCCTGTTTATGGGCATGAGAAGACCCAGACAGACACCTCTGACTTTGCTCTAAGGTCAGAGCACTGCTAGCTCTAGGGAGGGTTCTGAGTAGCCAGGGCTGCAGGCTCTCCCTGACCTGGTAAAGGCCTTTCTTCATGTTTCTTGGCCTTTCTATTCTCTGTTCTCTTCTCCGTTCTCAACATTTTCATTCTCAACCTTCCTTCTTTTAATTTTCCTATTGCCTTAAATACTCCTAGTACCTCTGAGCCTAGGAGGCAGATAGCGTATAATCATTTTTTCCCCTAGATCCCCTGGGAGGTGGCTGGGATATGCATAGTAAAAATTTTCTGAGGGTTCCTGAGGTAGATCTGTGTTTTTTTCCTTTCTCTTTCTGTGTTTGCATCATATCATAATAGAATTATAACTGTGGAGCCCTGGTTATGAAGGAGACCTGGAGATCACCCTGAGCAAAGTCAGAACAGAAAACTGGGTCCCAAAGGGAGAGTGGTCTTCCTATGGCCACACACTGACTGAGTGGGGAAGCTGAGTGGAGCCTTGGCCTTGTGACTCTCCATCTGCTGCTTTTGCACCCACAGCAATTCATATGTTGCATTTACTAAGCTGTAGGGTCCTGAACAAGTATTTTAATGACTCTGAGTCTTGTGTCCTCATTTACAAATGAGGATCATGTTATTTAGGTGGCAGGATTGAAGATTACAAGGATTTCTGTTTTGGAGTTGCTTCACTTAAGAAAAAGGCCTCCAGTTCCATCTATGTTGCTGCAAAAGAATATTATTTTATTCTTTCTTATTGCTGGGTAGGATTCCATTGTGTATATGTACCAGATTTTCTTTATCCATTAATCTATTGATTCTATATCTTTGCTATGGTGAATAGTGCTGCAATAGACTTATGAGTGTAGGTATCTTTTTGATATGTAGGAAATATATGGTAAGCCCTGATTTCATCCCTTGCAGCCAGAAGATCCTCAGCATCTAGTTAAGCTTGAGCGTTGTGAGGACAGATAAGGATGATGTTCTGGAAGATAGAGTTTATGCAACTTAATACAAATGATTTGTTCCTCACTGTAGTCTCTCTGTTGAAGTGTGTGCTATCAGTTTCCAAAATTATGAATAGCTTGAGTTGCATCAGCAGAAAGGCAGAAAAAAGAACAAAGCAAAAACACAACATATCTCTAGCCGGCCAATCTACCTATTCAAGCTGGTTGATTTTTCATTTAAAATTTGTTTTTTAAAACCCTCGTAAGAATGGAAGTAGAGATCTCTACTCTTCCTCTTTCAAATACTTCTGAGACTAGAAGATCAGAGGAGGAAGGAGAAGAAAGGAAAAGAGAGAAGAAGGCTAACACAGAAGTCAGCCTATGATCTTGGAAAGAAGGATGTCACCTCAGGCCCTGTGACAGGTGCAATTGGAATATAGAAGGGGCCAGGCTGGCAATGTATTGTGTCTTGTAAAGAATGAGGGCAGAGGGGCAAGGCATCCCCATCTTCTGAGGGGTTATAGTGACACGGTGTCAGGTCTGCTGGGTCCTAGAGGTCATCTTGAACAACCTCTGTCTTCAACAGACAGAAATTAGAGGCCAGGAAGGCAAATGAGAGAGACAGTGTTTATTGTCTACAAGCCCTGGAATAGGTCCTTATGACACATTGTCTAATTTTGTTTGCTGTGACAAGGCTTCATTAACCCTGTTTTCAAGGCAGAAAACCTGGCATGAGAGCAGATGGGAAAGGGCTGCACCTGCCTTGCCACTCAAGCCTGCCCAGATGTTAAGGAATGTTTTTTACCATGGGAAGCCAAGAGTGTAAAGCTTCCCCTTTATGGACTCAGTGGAAGTAAAAGTAACATTCACAACTACTTGTCACTTAATGGAGAGGAGATTTCTCATTTTAACAGAACAGACATTTGTTACCAAATGTAGTTGGCTGACTAATGGCCTCCAGCAATATCCAAGTCCTAGTTCCTGCAACTTACAAATGCTACCTTTTTGGCAAGAGGGACTTTGTAGATGTGATCAAGTTAGGGATCTTGAGATGGGGAGATTATCCTGGATTATCCAGATAGGCCCTAAATAGAATCACATTGTCCTTGTAAAAGGGAGGCAGAGAGAAGTTTGACTACAGGTGTGTATTAGTCATGGTTCTCTAAAGGGGCAGAACTAATTGGATAGATGAATATGTGAAGGGGAGTTTATTAGGAGGACTGACTCACACAATCACAAGGTGAAGTCCCACAGTAAGCCATGTGCAAGCTGATGAGCCAGGAAGCCAGTATGAGTCCCAAAACCGCAAAAGCAGAGAAGCCGGCAGTGCAGCCTTCAGTCTGTGGCTGAAGGCCCGAGAGCCCCTGGCAAATCACTGGTGTAAAGTCCAAGAGTCTAAAAGCTGAAGAACTTGAAGTCTGATGTTCAAGGGCAGGAAGCGTCCAGCACAGGAGAAAGATGAAGGCCAGAAGACTCAGCCAGTCTAGTCTTTACACGTTCTTCTACCTGCTTTATTCTAGCTGTGCTGGCAGGTGATTAGATGGTGCCCGCCCTGACTGAGGATGGGTCTACCTCTCCCAGTTCACTGACTCAAATGTTAATCTCCTTTGGCAACACCCTCACAGACACACCCAGGAACAATGCTTTGCATCCTTCAATCCAATCAAGTTGACACTCTATATTAACCATCACAAGATGTAAAAGGCAACATGAAGACTGAAGTCAGATGCTACACCACTGGCTTAGAGGATGGAGGGAGGAGCCACAGGCCAGTTATGCAAGAAATGCAGCTCTAGAAGCTGAGAAAGGCACAGAAATGATTTGCCCTTGGAGCCTCCAGAGGGAGCAGGGCCCTGCAGGTGCCTTGATTTCAGGCCTCTGAAACTGATATGAGACTTTTGATCCCCAGAACATTGTGCTGTTTTAACCACCAAGTTTGTGGTACTTTGTTACAGCAGCTGTAGGGAATGAATGCACCAGGGACAACTATTCCTATCAGTGAAGATGGGGTTTAGGGGTATGATGGCCTTGGTGACAGCAGAGTCCCACTGAGCGTGCCCATTTCTTGTCACAAACATAGTCATGAATGTTCAACGATGCGGCATCTGGGCCAGTTGTAGAGTATCTGGAGAACAGAAAACTGCCACTGAAGGCTAAAGGTCTCTGACCATGATTTTAACTGGTTAATCTGAGTATCGGGTACAGCTGTCCTTCTGATTGATAGAAGCTGTGTAGGGGCAGGGACATTCCCTGATGTTTGAATTTGGGGAGCAGAGGAACTTTGGGCAAGCCTGCCATTTGCAAAGCTGATGGACGTCACATGCAGGAAAGTCGGGAAAAAGGAGTTAAGATGAAAAGCACCACCTGAAAAGAGAGGAGTGTAGGGGACAATACCTCCCTGATAAAACCTGCCCATTATCTTTTTCCTCCTTACAAAGATTAACAAATAGGATAAAGGGCAGGAAACAGGTGCCACCTCATACATTCTGACCAGCAGTGTGATGTGCAGGAGCATGTGAGGTGCTCGAAACATACCCGCTATGTTACTGTGATGGCAGAGGTAGGATTTGAACCCTGGGTTACATAATTCCAAATTTCTCGACACACACAGAGTTGGAGCTGGAACACAATTTCCTCACATCTGGTCCAGGGTCCTTTCCACCTTATCATACCACTTTCTTTCGTAAAATGAAATATTCTTAGCAGGATGTTCTATCTACTTACCTGTGTCCAATATATTATTTTGTTCAATCTAACAGAGATGCTTATTCCTTGTTTCCATCAGGCAAAGAATTAAGTGTACTAAAGAGAAAAAAGTTGAAATTTTGCAGAGAGGGTATAGAATTTTTAAGAGTCCTGAGGGAGAACACGATGATGTAATTTATTGAGTGTTCTTTTGTGCAGTGTGCTTTACATCCATCATCCTTACAGGACTTTGAGGTTAGGTTTTATTATCTTCAGTTTGCCAGTGAGGAAAACTGGGGTTTAGAGGGGTTAGGAAATTGTCCAAAGCCACCAAACCACGTTAGTGGTTCTCAGCCTTTATCAAGCACCAGAATCCCCTGCTGGGCTTGTTAAAACACAGATTGATGGGTCCACTTGCAGTGTTTCTGATTTTGCATGTCTAGGGTGGGGCCAAGCACTTGCATTTCTAGCAAGTTCCCAGATAATATTGATGCTGCGTGTCTGGGCACCATACTTTCGGAACTCTTGGTTTTGAATGTTTTAAGAAGGATATGAAATCAGAGCAATTTGAATCTAATTTAGGCTGCCTCAGTCTTCCCCTTCTGGAACTGACTTCAGGTTCTCCAGTGAGAGCTGAGAGCCTTGGGGCCTTGCTAGTCCCTGTCAGAGCTGTGTGTAAGTCCCATTATCTGCTGGAGAAGGTTGCCTGGACTGCCCCAGGCTGTGATTTCCGACCCATTCACTGTGTCCACTGTGGCCAAGAGAACAGAATACTGGTGGCTGTCAGAGTCAAGGGAGGGTGGGGGCTGACTGGATTCTAGCTGAGCACACTGCTCAGAGTGGCCCTGCTTCTATTCCTTAACTCCCCTTTAATTTACTGGAAATAAAAAAGGTTTTTTTTAATTGTAAAATCTACATTATTTAAATCTGTTGCTCAGTAGAGTACTATGAAATGCCAGAACCTCTGGAAGATCATATTATTTCTAGGGATCACTAGTTATAAACAGTTTAAAAGTTTTGCTTTCTTGGAGATAATTCCAATTATGGCTGATTTTAGCTTCTCTGTATACTGAAAGAATGGGCATGGTTTGGGTTCATATCTGATTTAACTTAGTTTTCTTTTATTCATTTCTAGCTCTATTATCAACATGATACATGCTCATTGTCAAAAATTTGGAAAATACAGAAATTGTGAATGAAAAATTTATTAATAATTCCAATATACAGGACAACTCCTACTTACTTTTTGTATGATTTTCTTTACTCTTGTTTTGTGACCTTTTATTTTAAAAATGTCTCTCTCTCTCTCTCTATATATATATATATATATACACATATACTTTTATATATATCAAAAATATATCAATAATATGATATTATACATACTTTTTTTGGGAATTCAGGGTTCTTTGTTAATTTTGCTCACCTCTCATTTCCTTCTCTTTTCACCCTCACTGCCTCCTCTCTTCACATCACCTTTTCCCCAGGTAACTGACTTAGTATGCATCCTGTGTTTTTTTCAGGCTCATATAAGTATCTACTAACTAGGTTTGAGTCTTTCCTTATGCATATCTTCAGTATTCTTTACATGCATATATTATGGTTTGCTGGCTATTCCCCTAATATGGAAGTTCTAGTTTGTTTCAGTTTTCACTGTTATTTTGATGAACATTTTGCACATAAATCTTTGTCTGTATACTTGAGTATTTCTTTAAGATAGAATCTCCACTTTGGGAGGCCGAGGCGGGTGGATTACAAGGTCAGGAGATCGAGACCATCCTGGCTAACACGGTGAAACCCCGTTTCTACTAAAAAATACAAAAAATTAGCCGGGCATGGTGGCGGGCGCCTGTAGTCCCAGCTACTTTGGAGGCTGAGGCAGGAGAATGGCGTGAACTCAGGAGGTGGAGCTTGCAGTGAGCCGAGATCGTGCCACTGCACTCCAGCCTGGGCGACAGAGCGAGACTCCGTCTCAAAAAAAAAAAAAAAAAAAAAAAAAAAACAGATGGACTCCCTGAAATAAAACTCCTGAACATTTGTAAGGCTGTTTATGGACCTATTAGTTTCTGGAAAGGTTTTAACGACTTACTCTCCTACCAGCAGGAGTGAGAGGACTAATGCTTTTGTAAGTGAGATCCTAGATTCCTTGGACTGAGATGTTTGAAAAGTTGTTCCCGTGTCAGGGCTCCAGGCCATCATTGTCTTCTAAGCCAGGCTTTTAGTGGCATGACAACTTCAATTCCACACCCTCAACAGTCCTGGGACCATGTTCGATATTTTTAATGGAACTAGACACTCCCCACCTCTGTATTTTTTTCTACTTGCTTTTTGATTTGCATATTGTGTCAACTACATTTCTTAAACATATTTTGAATCCAGCCCTACTATTTTGACAAATCAGTCTTTCTGGACTTCTATTTTGTCCTCTGCATTCTGACCAGCCAATGAATATGTAAATCAGAAGCCCTTACCTTCAGGGGATTAGCAATTGAGTTTTCTCGAAGATGTACACATGGAAAGGTATAAAGGAATAACTTGCTTCCCAAGGATCCAAATACATCTTGCAGAGAATTGGTGCTGTAGCAGTTCAGAGCAGGCCAACTCATGGTCTGCAGTCAACAGGGAGGACTTCACTGCCTAAGAGAAATTTGAACTGGGCCTTGTAGGAAGGATACAGGATTTGGAGCTGTGAACTGAAGAGGGGAGTCAGTGTGTCTTAGACTGGAGTACTGCTGTAAGAAAACGGCTGGAGATATGATTTGAAAGAGTATTAGAGACTATCCAAAGTAAAAGCTGATGCTGACATGGAGTAAGAGAAAGAAAAAACTGGCCATACTACAAGTCCAATACAGGTCAAAGCTGTGATCCTGAGATGGCTCAATTCTCTGCAGAGCTGGGCAGTTTTAATTCTCTAGTGCTCCACATTGCAAAAGCACAGATGGTGGCTGGTTGTTTTGCAGTGGGTAAGTATGGTAACTATGGAAGAAGAACAATGGAGTGAGAGCTTTGAGGTCCTCGTGCAGAAGTGTTTGCAGTGACATGTCATAGGTCCTAGGATAAACAGGGAAACAGTGGAGCAGATGAGTGTGGCCTGATGATTTGGAGAAAAAGGGAGACATCTAGGACAGTGCTGCCCAATACAAATTTAATGCAAGTCACAAATGCAAGCCACCATGCAGCTATTTTAAAATTTTCTACAACACATTATAAGAGAGTTTATATAAATTTTAATCATATACTCTACTTGGCTAACATATCGAAAATATAGTTTAAACATGTAATTGATATAAAATTGGTTAATCACATATTTTCTCTTCTTTTTTTCATACTAAGCCTTAGAAATCTGGTGTGTATTTTATACTTACAGCACATCCCAATTGATACTAATCAGATTTTAAATGCTCTACAGTCCCATGTAGTAGTGACTACTGTGTTGGACAGAGCAGCACAGTATGCTGGGATTGGAAAGATGAAGTGGGAAGTAAGGAAATTGGAAGGTTCAGGGTTTGTGACCAGACTGGGGTAGTTTAGGAATCACAGGCCAAATGACTGGTTACTGTCAGTACTGCGGGGTGAGTGTTTAAGGTGTATTGGAAATGAATGAACCTGAGTGGGTCAAGACACTGGGTGGTGTTGATGGTCATCGCTGCGGAAGGAGGGAAGCCTAGTGCTTGGCGTGTAGTGGAGTCTCAGACTAATGACCATGAGCCCAGCAAGAAAGCTCCTGGTGACTATGAAAGGAGGTTCAGGAGTTAGTGGGCAGAATCCACATGGGAAAAGGATTCATGCCAGGCGTCAGGGGATTACAATCCACAGGCCAAATCGAGCCCACTGTCTGTGTTGTAAACAAGGATTACTGGAACACAGCCACTCTTGATTGTATCATGCATTGTCCATGGGAGCTGTTGCTACAATGGCAGAGTTGAGTAGCTGGGACCAGGATTGTAGATCTCTCAAAGCCTGGAATACTTGTATCTGGCCCTTTAGAGAAAGTTTACCTACTCCTGATTTATACCATAGTCTAAATGAGCCTCAGAGGAGGAGGAGTTTCTCCAGAGTAGGCAGAAGTAAAACTCTAGGAAAATACTGAAAGCGGGCCTGGCCCTGGGGATTTTTGCGTCGAGTTTGTGACTCCTTCATCTCAATCTCAAGGAAGCAGCTGCACTGCTACAACTGTCTCCCTAGAGATCTGAGGACCGACACTAACTTCCAAAACTGCAGCCTCTTCTCCACAGCACATTCTTTAATCCTCTTCAGACATTAACAATCCTCTGGAGTCACGTTTGTGCTTTTGAAATGGAATCATGATACTGCTGTTTTTATGAACTGGCACTGTGACTCTCAAACCCATGGGAACTTTGAACTTCTATAGTGTTTCTTGTTTCCATCCAGAAACAAGGAAACGTTCACTCACTTTTTCCTTCTGCTTTACACACAATTAGAGTCTATTATGGAACAAAAAATCTTGTTCTCCCTGATAATACCTGATATATTGCGTAAAAGATCTCATTTGTCAGAAGATACATGATCTTACTACTTCTCCTTTATGTAATTCTCTTCTCAGTAGGAAATGGTGCAGCAGATTTAAAGGGCAGTGGACTGGGAAGCATTAGACCCAGGATTTATTTTTAGCTTCACTTCTATTTTAATGCCCCTAGATTTCAGTTTTCTCATCTATAATAATAATGGCAATAAAATGCTACCACTTATTGAATGATAATAATAACTACCTTTTCCTTGGAGACAGTGGAGTTTAGTGACAGTGAAAGACTGCCTGGGTTTGAAGCCTGACACCCATTCATTAGCTTGTGACCTTGAGTGAGTCACTAAAAATCTCTGGGCCTTAGTTTCCTTATTTATAAAATGAGGATGCACTACCTCATCAAATGAGTTAATATTCATGATACATTTTGAACAGCATCTGGCACATAGGACATGATATTTTCAAGTCTGTTAAAAAGAAATAAAATACAATAATATCTATCCTTTATATCTGCCACAGTTGTTAATGGTATACTAGGTTTAATTCTTTATGTGCGTTGTTTTTAAATAATAATGTCAGTGCTGCAAGGGCATTATTATTATTCCAAATTTTATACCTAAAGGGACAGATTCAGAGAGGTTAATTTGTTCAATATCATACAACTAGCAAATGAAGGAGCTAGAATTACTCCACATCTGACACCAAGCCCTTGCCAGATCTAAAGCCCTGGATTTGATCAGTGATTGCCAAATGTAGATGATCTCAGCTAGTTGCAGAGTTAATTTGTTAGATTTAATTTAGGTCCTGTCTCTTGACTGACTTGCTATGGAGTGTTGGACAAATGGCCCAACTTGTCCATTCTTGGTTTCTCATGTAGGAGAGAAATGACACTAACTCACCCTACATGGGGTGGGGTGAACATCTATTGATTTTAGCTTGTGCTTGGTCTGTTTTCCCAGCCCTGGAATAGTAGCTTCATTTTCTTTTGAGAAACTACTCCTTTCTCACTCTCAGTCTCTGCAATTTGGATGCAGTTGACTGCACTTTCCTGGCCTGGGTTTAGGACATTTGACCTACCCCGATCTACCAGAGTATGACATTTCCCTGGCCAGAGGATCACCTCAGAGTGAGCACATGCAAATAATTATTTTGTGAGGCCACTGTCTATATAAACAATTTGATAAAAAATGTATTAAAAATTAATGGTCCCATGCTAGATCCAGTGGTTTATTGATAAAAAATTTGAACTATCAGTAGGCAAAAGGTACTTACATATTTTTTATTGTACAATCAGTGCTTGTAAAGATCCTTCTTCATTTCCATGCACCATCTCTTTCTCTTCCATCTAGGAACTGACTCCTCAAGTTCTTTGTCAAATGTGCCATTCCGGGCTGATTTTGTATCTTCCAACCATGAGAAAAAGACAACGATGCTCTTGTTAGTCACCATGCCGTGACTCTTCAGAATATGCTTGTATTGAAACAATACAGAACATTTTATCTCTGCAGTTTCCTAATACAGTTTATGTAGGACTTGGACCCATCGTTACTCATGGCAGACACTGCCTCATCCATCCATTGTGCTGTTTCTGAAGACTGGCTAGTGGTGATTCATAAAGGTTGGTACTGAGCACTTTTGATGACGATCACCAATGCAAGTCTCACTCAAATAATGCCAAACAATGTGAATGATAATTTGTTTTCTGTCATGTCAAATTTGCATATTGGAATTTTAGCACAAATATAGAATGATACATTTTACAAGCATGTCTTAATCACTGCCCTCCTATAATTTGATCTCTTTCTTTTTTATTTTATTCTATCTTTTTTTTTATTATACTTTGAGTTCTGGGGTACATGTGCAGAATGTGCAGGTTTGTTACACAGGTATACACGTGCCATAGTTGTTTGCTGCACCCATCAACCCATCATCTACATTAGGTATTTCTCCTAATGCTATCCCTCCCCTACCCCCCACCCCACGACAGGCCCCAGTGTGTGATGCCCCCACCCTGTCCCATGTCCATGTGTTCTCATTGTTCAACTCCCACTTATGAGTGAGAACATGTGGTGTTTGGTTTTCTGTTCTTGTGATAGTTTGCTCATAATGAGGGTTTCCAGCTTCATCCATGTCCCTGCAAAGGACTTGAACTTATCCTTTTTTATGGCTGCATAGTATTCAATAGTGTATATGTGCCACATTTTCTTTATCCAGTCAATCATTGATGGACATTTGGGTTGGTTCTAAGTCTTTGCTATTGTGAACAGTGCTGCGATAAATGTATGTGTGCATGTGTCTTTATAGTAGAATGATTTATAATCCTTTGGGTATAAACACTATAATGGGATTGCTGGGTCAAATGGTATTTCTAGTTCTAGATCCTTCAGGAATCACCCACTGTCTTCCACGATGGATGAACTAATTTACATTCTCACCAACAGTGTAAATCGTTCCTATTTCTCCACACCCTCTCCGGCATCTGTTGTTTCCTGACTTTTTAATGACCACCATTCAAACTGGCATGAGATGGTATCTCAATGTGGTTTTGATTTGTATTTCTCTAATGACCAGTGATGATGAGCTTTTTTTTCAAATGTTTGTTGGCTACATAAATGTCTTCTTTTGAGAAGTGTCTGTTCATATCGTGGGCCCACTTTTTGATGGGTTGTTTGTTTTTTTCTTGTAAATTTGTTTAAGTTCCTTGTAGATTCTGGATATTAGCCCTTTGTCAGATAGATAGATTGCAAAAATTTTCTCCCATTCTGTAAATTGCCTGCTCACTCTGATGATAGTTTCTTTTGCTGTGCAGAAACTCTTTAGTTTAATTAGATCCCATTTGTGAATTTTGGCTTTTGTTGCCACTGCTTTTGGAGTTTTAGTCATGAAGTCTTTGCCCATGCCTATGTCCTGAATGGTATTGCCTAGAATTTCTTCTAGGGTTTTTATGGTTTTAGGTCTTGCATTTAGGTCTTTCATCCATCCTGAGTTAATTTTGTATAAGGTGTAAGGAACGGATCCAGTTTCAACTTTCTGCATATGGCTAGCCAGTTTTCCCAACACCATTTATTAAATAGGGAATCCTTTCCCCATTGCTTCTTTTAGTCAGGTTTGTCAAAGATCAGATGGTTTTAGATGTGTGGTGTTATTTCTGAGGCCTCTGTTCTGTTCCATTGATCTATATATCTGTTTTGGTACCAGTACCATGCTATTTTGGTTACTATAGCCTTGCAGATTGAAGTCAGGTAGCATGATGCCTCTAGCTTTGTTCTTTTTCCTTAGGATTGTCTGGGCTATGCGGGCTTGTTTTTGCTTCCATATGAAATTTAAAGTAGTTTTTTCCAATTCTGTGAAGAAAGTCAATGGTAGCTTGATAGGGATAGCATTGAATCTATAAATTACTTTGGGCAGTATGGCCATTTTCACAATATCGATTCTTCCTATCCATGAGCGTGAAATGTTTTTCCATTTGATTGTGTCCTCTCTTATTTCCTTGAGCAGTGGTTTGTAGTTCTCCTTGAAGAGGTCCTTCACATCCCTTGTAAGCTGGATTCCCAGGTATTTTATTCTCTTTGTAGCAATTGTGAATGGGAGTTCACTCATGATTTGGCTCTCTGTTTGTCTCTTATTGGTGTATGGGAATGCTTGTGATTTTTGCACATTGACTTTGTATCCTGAGGCTTTGCTGAAGTTGCTTATCAGCTTAAGGAGATTTTGGGCTGAGACGATGGGGTTTTCTAAATATACAATCATGTCATCTGCAAACAGAGACAATTTGACTTCCTCTTTGTCTGTTTGAGTACCCTTTATTTCTCCTCTTGCCTGATTGCCCTGGCCAGAACTTCCAATACTATGTTGAATAGGAGTGGTGAGAGAGGGCATCCTTGTCTTGTGCTGGTTTTCAAAGGGAATGCTTCCAGCTTTTGTCCATTCAGTATGATATTGGCTGTGGGTTTGTCATAAATAGCTCTTATTATTTTGAGATGTGTTCCATCAATGCCTAGTTTATTGAGAGTTTTTAGCATGAAGGGGTATTGAATTTTGTCAAAGGCATTTTCTGCATCTATTGAGATAATCATGTGGTTTTTTCATTGGTTCTGTTTATATGATGGATTACATTTAATGATTTGCATATGTTTAACCAGCCTTGCATCCCAGGGATGAAGCTGACTTGATCGTGATGGATAAGCTTTTTGATGTGCTGCTGGATTTTGTTTGTCGGTATTTTATTGAGGATTTTTGCATCGATGTTCATCAGACATATTGGCCTGAAATTCTCTTTTTTTGTTGTGTCTCTGTCAGGCTTTGGTATCAGGATGATGCCGGCCTCATAAAATGAGTTAGAGAGGATTCCCTCTTTTTCTGTTGTTTGGAATAGTTTCAGAAGGAATGGTACCAGCTCCTCTTTGTACCTCTGGTAGAATTCAGCTGTGAATCCGTCTGGTCCTGGACTATTTTTGGTTGGTAGGCTATTAATTACTGCCTCAATTTCAGAACTTGTTATTGGTCTATTCAGGGATTCGACTTCTTCCTGGTTTAGTCTTGGGAGGGTGTATGTGTCCAGTAATTGATCCATTTCTTCTAGATTTTTTAGTTTATTTGCATAGACGTGTTTACAGTATTCTCTGATGGTAGTTTGTATTTCTGTGGGATCAGTGGTGATACCCTCTTTATCATTTTTTTGTGTCTATTTGATTCTTCTCTCTTTTCTTCTTTATTAGTCTGTCTAGTGGTCTATCAATTTTGTTGATCTTTTTAAAAAACCAGCTCCTGGATTCATTGATTTTTGGAAGGAATTTTTGTGTCTCTGTCTGCTTCAGTTCTGCTCTGATCTTAGTTATTTCTTGTCTTCTGCTAGCTTTTGAATTTGTTTGCTCTTGCTTCTCTAGTTCTTTTAATTGTGATGTTAGGGTGTCAATTTTAGATCTTTCCTGCTTTCTCTTGTGGGCATTTAGTGCTATAAATTTCCCTCTAAACACAGCTTTAAATGTGTCCCAGAGATTCTGGCACATTGTGTCTTTGTTCTCATTGGTTTCAAAGAACATCTTTATTTCTGCCTTCATTTCGTTATGTACCCAGTAGTCGCTCAGGAGCAGGTTGTTCAGTTTCCATGTAGTTGTGCGGTTTTGAGTGGTTTCTTAATCCTGAGTTCTAATTTCATTACACTGTGGTCTGGGAGACTGTTTGTTATGATTTCCATTCTTTTGCATTGGTTGAGGAGTGTTTTACTTCCAATTATGTGGTCAATTTTAGAATAAGTGCAATGTGGTGCTGAGAAGAATGTATATTCTGTTGATTTGTGGTGGAGAGTTCTGTAGATGTCTATCAGGTCTGCTTGGTCCAGAGCTGAGTTCAAGTCCTGAATATCTTTGTTAATTTTCTGTCTTGTTGATCTGTCTAATATTGACAGTGGGGTGTTAAAGTCTCCCACTATTATTGTGTGTGAGTCTAAGTCTCTTTGTAGGTCTTTAAGAACTTGCTTTATGAATCTGGGTGCTCCTGTATTGGGTGCATATATATTTAGGATATATGTTGAATTCATCTGTTACCAGTATGTAGTGTCCTTCTTTGCCTCTTTTGATCTTTGTTGATTTAAAGCCTGTTTTATCAGAGACTAGGATTGCAACCACTGGTTTCTGTTGCTGTCCATTTGCTTGGTAAATATTCCTCCATCCCTTTATTTTGAGCCTATGTGTATCTTTGCATGTGAGATGTGTCTCCTGAATACAGCACACTGATGGGTCTTGACTCTATCCAATTTGCCAGTCTGCGTCTTTTTACTGGGGCATTTAGCCCATTTACATTTAAGGTTAATATTGTTATGTGTGAATTTGATCCTGTCATTGTGATGCTAGCTGGTTATTTTGCCTCTTAGTTGATGTTGTTTCTTCATAATGTTGATGGTGTTTACAATTTGGTATGTTTATGCAGCGGTTGGTACCAACTGTTCCTTTTATTGCTTCCTTCAGGAGCTCTTGTAAGGCAGGCCTGGTGGTGACAAAATCTCTCAGCATTTGCTTGTCTGTAAAGGATTTTATTTCTCCTTCACTTATGAAGCTTAGTTTGGCTGGATATGAAATTCTGGGTTGAAAATTCTTTTCTTTAAGAATGTTGAATATTGGCCCCCACTCTCTTCTGGCTTGTGGGGTTTCTGCCAAGAGATCCGCTGTTAGTCTGATGGGCTTCCCTTTACCGGTGATCTGACCTTTCTCTCTGGCTGCCCTTAATATTTTTTCCTTTATTTCACCCTTTGTGAATCTGACAATTATGTGTCTTGGGGTTGCTCTTCTCAAGGAGTATTTTTGTGGTGTTCTCTGTATTTCCTGAATTTGAATGTTGGCCTGACTTGCTAGGAAGTTCTCCTGGATAATATCCTGAAGGGTGTTTCCCAACTTGGTTCCATTCTCCTTGTCACTTTCAGGTACACCAATCAAATGTAGATTTGGTCTTTCACACAGTCCCGTATTTCTTGGAGGCATTGTTCATTTCTTTTCATTTCTTTTTCCTCTAGTCTTGTCTTCTTGCTTTATTTCATTAAGTTGATCTTTGATCTCTGATATCCTTTCTTCCCCTTGATCAATTCAGCTACTGATATTTGTGTATGCTTCACAAAGTTCTGATGCTCTATTTTTCAGCTCCATCAGGTCATTTATGGTCCTCTCTACACTGGTTATTCTACTTAGCAATTCACCTAACCTTTCTTCAAGGTTCTTAGCTTCCTTGCACTGCATTATAACGTGCTCCTTTAGCTTGAAGGAGTTTGTCATTACCCACCTTCTGAAACCTACTTCTGTCAATTCATCAAACTCATTCTCTGTCCAGTTTTGTTCTCTTGCTGGTGAGGAGTTGTGATCCTTTGGAGGGGAAGAGGTGTTCTCGTTTTGGGAGTTTTCAGCCTTTTTGCGCTGGTTTCTCCCCATCTTCATGGATTTATCTACCTTTGGTCTCTAATATTGGTGACCTTCAGATGGAGTCTCTGAATGGACATCCTTTTTGTTGATGTTGATGTTATTCCTTTCTGTTTGTTAGTTTTCCTTCTAACAGTCAAGCCCCTCTGCTGCAGGTCTGCTGGAGTTTGCTGGAGGTCTACTCCATATCCTTTTTGCCCGGGTATCACCAGCAGAGGCTGCAGAACAACAAAGATTGCTGCTTGTTCCTTCCTCTGGAAGCTTCGTCCCAGAGGGGCACCTGCCAGATACCAGCTAGAGCTTTCCTCTATGAGGTGTCTGTCAGCCCCTATTGGGAGGTATCTCCCAGTCAGGATATACAAGGGTCAGGGATCCACTTGAGGAGGCAGTCTGACCCTTATCAGAGCTCGAATGCTGTACTGGAAGATCTGCTGCTCTCTTCAGAGCTGTCAGGCTGGGACATTTAAGTCTGCTGTAGCTGCACCCACAGCCACCCCTTCCCCCAGGTGCTCTGTCCCAGGGAGATGGGGGTTTTATCTATAATTCTGTGACTGGGGCTGCTGCCTTTTTTTAAGAGATGCCCTGCCCAGAGAGGAGGAATCTAGAGAGGCAGCCTGGCCACAGCGAACTTGCTGAGCTGCGGTGGGCTCCACCAAGTTTGAACTTCCTGGCAGCTGTGTTTACACTGTGAGGGTAAAACCAACTACTCAAGCCTCAGGAATGGCGGACACCCCTCCCTCTACCAAGCTCAAGCGTCCCAGGTCAACTTCAGACTGCTGTGCTGGCAGCGACAATTTCAAGCCAATGGATATTAGCTTGCTGGGCTCCAAGGGGGTGGGACCGGCCAAGCCAGACCACTTGGCTCCCTGGCTTCAGCCCTCTTTCCAGGGGAGTGAATGGTTCTGTCTCATTGACATTCCAGGCGCCACTGGGGTATGAAAAAAACAAAAAACAAAACGAAACAAAAAAAACTCTTGCAGCTAGCTCGGTGTCTGCCCAAATGGCTGCCCAGTTTTGTGCTGTAGGCACTGGAGGGAATCTCCTGGTCTGCAGGTTGCAAAGACCATGGGAAAAGCACAGTATCTGGGCAGGAGTGCACCATTCCTCATGGCACAGCCCCTCACATCCCTCATGGCTTCCCCTGGCTAGGGGAGGGAAATTCCCCGACCCCTTGTGCTTCCTGGGTGAGGTGACATCCCACCCTGCTTCAGCTTGCCCTCCGTGGGCTGCACCCACTGTCCAACCACTCCGAGAGAGATGAACCATGTACCTCAGTTGGAAATGCAGAAATCACCCACCTTCTGCATTGATCTCACTGGGAGATGCGGACCAGAGCTGTTCCTATTCGACCATCTTGCCAGCAAAATCGAATTTGATCTCTTTCAGAATGTTGACCATACCCTTGTCTTCCACGTACTGCCACCAGTGGAAAATACACAGAAGGAAGAATGGTCCTATTTCTTTTAGAAATTACTGCTTCTCACCCTTCCTGGCTTGAGAGACCAACCAAACTAACAGGGAGAGCATGAAGTTACCACATTGGATAGAGGCAAGAAGGGACATTGATCAAAGGATTGCAGAGCCACAGTCTGGAAAGCCCTCAGAAGAAATGAGAATGGCCACTCACAAAGGACTGCCTGGCATGTGGCGCAGAGCCTGTGGTGGGAGTGGGAAGCTCCTCTCGGAACCAGGTTTAGGGAGTGCAGTGGTTGGGGACGAGGGTAAGTGTTGCTCACCACCATACCCACTTCTCTTGGGTGTTGTAGACCATAGGAAGCACCATAGCATAAACACAGCAGCATGGCAGGCAGTACACAAACTGCACGTGTGGCTCAGGACACAGACGGGGTTGTTGGTAAGTCAAAACCCCAAACTCATCTTTTGTCTGATGTGTTTGAGTCACCTAAAATCAATGTATCAGGATCATTTTGGCAGCCTAATCTCATGAGAAAAATATACCACTTGCCAGTGGGACAATCTGCTTCTCAGGCTGCTCGCCTGGAGCCAGAGCTGGGACATATGGTCCCAGTACAACCCCATTGGCTTGGCTCCTGGAACTCCCAGGGCATTAGGTTGATCTCATGAGTGAAGCAGAGCAAGGGTTGTCAAATGGTTTCTGTAAAGGCCCAGATATTAAACATTTTAGGCTTTTAGGACCCCTCCTCTGTTGCAGCTATTTTACTCTGGATATAGTGTGAAAGTAGCCATAGACAACAGGAAGTGAAAGAGTATGGCTGTGTTCCAATAAAACTTTATTTACATAAACAGGCAGTGAGTCAGATTTGGTCTTCAGCACATAGTTTTCCAGCCCCTGGGTACAGGGTAAGAGAGCACTTTGAAGGTGCTAAATGGGCGGGACAGTGCTAGGTGTTAATAGAAACAAAGGATAAAGGGAGACAGCAGAAGGGGAAAATGATTTGCATTTTTTTCATAAGATGGAGAATATAAAAAGCATTCTAGATTAAAAATCATAACAGCATATGCAAAAGAGCATATGCAAAGAACAGGACCAACAGGTTGAATGGCAAGTAGCTTGTTGCAGCTGGCAAAACAGCACACTATGGGGAGTGGCCACAGGGCACGCTAGGGGCTGCCATGTTCTTGGGAGGATTAAGTGAGTGATATGGTTTGGCTATACCCCCACCCAAATCTGAATTTTTATCTCCCAGAAGTCCCATGTGTTGTGGGAGGGATCCAGCGGGAGGTAATTGAATCATGGGGGCTGGTATTTCCTGTGCTATTCTGGTGATAGTGAATAAGTCTTACAAGATCTGATGGGTTTATCAGGGGTTTCCACTGTTGCTTCTTCCTCATTTTCTCTTGCCATTGCCATGTAAGAAGTACCTTTTTCTTCCCACCATGATTCTGAGGCCTCCCCAGCCATCTGGAAATATAAGTCCAATTAAAACTCTTTTACTTCCCAGTCTTGGGTATGTCTTTATCAACAGTGTGAAAATGGACTAATACAGTGAGAAAACAGATGTGAAATGTTTTGTAAACTCTACAAATGTCAGCATATTGTTAAGTAACTTAAAAGCATGATATGCTATGCTAATAAATTTTTATTTTTATTTTTTTCCCTGTAGGTCTGTGAGAGCCACTTCAGGAATTTTTTGCTTGGAGTTACATGACGAAATTTGCATTTCAGAAAGGCCACCTGATACTGTATGGAGGATGGCCTAGAGGGCTGAACTGATGCTTGAAGGTGGGTAAAGAGGCTGTTACAGGAATTTGGGTGAGAGATGGTGAGAACCTGCACCAGAGCAGTGGCCTAGGAGGTGAAAAATGGGTAATAGTTGAAAAGATTGTTCGGAGATTGCACTGACATCATTTGATGACATTTTGGCTGTAGGCAGAGAGTAATTAAGAGGTGTTGCAGTGATGCCTGAGTACTTTCCCACATGGACTGCTAGGTGGATTCTAATGCCACGTGTTAAGAGAAAAAGCCCAGCTCTATCAACACTTGTACCCTGCACCCTGAACAGCAATTGTGCACATGCTTGGAATGGAGAGGAGGGGTGGGAATCTGAGCTTGGCTTGGTGCCAATCCCTACTAGGGCCATGGAAGCTCCTGAGGGTAGGTGGAGAACAAGAAGTCTGTGAGAGGGGCTGGGCTTTCTGATATTCATTTCTTGTCTTGATTTGCTGGCTTATCAGAAGAAAGCCCTCCACCCTGGCCAGCCAGGAATGCCAGTGCTATGCAAGCCAGCACTTGTGGCTCCACAACTGAGCAAGGCCTCATTATTTTTCAAGAATACCCTAGTAAGGGTCTTTATCTTGGACAAAGAAAGCTATTAAAAATGTATAATTCTATCATCTGCTCTCTGAATTCGTAGTGTGGTTGCAACAGGATTGGATCCAGATAGAGATTGGATCTCTATTTGACCAGCTTTCTCTCCTCCAAACCACATGGATTTATTTAGCCACTTAAGTGTGACGGTTAAGGGCCAGGCTCTGGAGCCAGTGGGCCTGGATTCAAATCTCACCTCTGCCATGGACCCTTGCCATGTGGTTTCAATATTATGTGTCTCAGTTCCTTCAAATGTAATGTCACCTTCCTCATAGGGTTGTTATGAGGTCTAGATGAGTTAATATGTGTGAAGCACTTGAAACAATGCCTGGCACAGAGCAAGCTCAGTATAAATATTACAGCAAGGTACTGAATGCCGCAGGAGAGATGGGTTCCAATTTGTCGGGCTTCAGATTCTCTGTGATTTGCCTTCTTTTTTCTTATCCTTTGCTGAGTAGTCACTGGTGGGCGCAACACTTGACCCCTGGAATGGAGTCAAGAAAAGAACCTGGCTCTTGACCCACTTGTGGAGCCTGAAGTGCTGAGCTGCATACCAGGAACCCTCTTGGCTGTTCAGGGTGGAGGACTTTCCTTTGATCAGCCAGCAAATTAAGACAGGAAATGAAAATTGGAGGTCTAGGGCTCTGATGATATGTGGCATCTGGATCCCTAATTCCTGATCTTTGTTTGGGTCAGATTTGTTATTTCTACAGAACCAGAACACTGTCGTTCAAATGATTTTGGCTCTCTCTGTTAGTTATTTCAAGTGTGATAAATTTCTCTTAAATTAATTACAAACAGAAAGGGTATGGTGAGTCAGCTCGTGTCTGGAATGGAGCCCATAAGCTAAGTGTAGGCCGTGAGACTGCACTTGCATCATGAGCAGAATGGGGAGATGAGAGAGATGATTTCCAAACAATGAATGGTTTTTAGGTGGAAAATACAATTCTGGTTTAGTGTTTTTCTAAGATCTTTTCCTTTAAGATGAAAACCAGGGCTTAGTTACAAAGGTGGACATGCTGTCTAGACATCATGAATGCTAAAAGAAATGTGTGTGTTTGTATGCACCTGTGCACACACTATAAGCATATGAAACACACCTGTGACCTATGCAACAAATAAAAGTGACACGTCATGAATGCTCCCCAAATCTAACTTCAGTGCTACATTTTAAAAAAGTGATGGGGAAATACCTTCTTCTGGAGGCTAGATTGCCTCTGTATGTGTGTGTGGGGATTGTAGGAGTAGGGAGACTTCCTTTTTGATAGGGAACTTGGGGTAGAGAATCAACCAAAAAGCAGCCATCAGAGACTCGTATGCATCCAGGACTGTTCTAGGTAGCACGGAGGACTCTGGTTAAGAATACAGTGATGAAGCTTTGAATGTCCAGTGAAGCTGGGAGGGCACAACTGACACGCATGAAATGGTTTGAGAGTAGACTATAAGGAATAAATGAGTCTGGGGGAAAAAGAGATCTAAGAATTTTAGAAAAATGGTAAAGCTTTAGAAAAGAAGGAAGCATCGTTTCTCGGCCTTTTGGCTAAGATTAAGTGAAAAGAAGGAGGCAGCTTCCCAGGAAAAGTAAAGTTGAAGGTGAGCCTTGGAGCATGCTCTTTGCAATGTTTTGGGTATTTACTTATCCTCTTAATTAACTGAGCAGGAGAAAAAATGCATTTTTCTAGCTGATTTTCCTTGGCACAATTGCAGGCCACATGATGCCACCCATTGGTTGAAGCTGAGATTGTAAATATCTCCCAGAGAAGCTAAATGTAGAGGGATTCACACAGAAATGGAGACCACAAAGATCTATAATGCCTCAGCTAAAGTTTGCATCAATTTTATATTAGCATTTACATTTGTAATATGGGGAAAATATCTGTTTGCCAACATTACATAAGCAGATTTAAAGTACCTAACATATTTTACTGAACACAGACATAGATGTGTATAAAGCAGCTGTGGTACATTTTTCCTCCCCTGGATCAAGGCTAGAATGCTAATTTTCAGTGAAGTTTCTGGAGAATATGGTAATTTGTTATCTTAGCAAATTTTCAAGCTAAATTCATTCCCTTTTTTCTCAGCTTCCTTTCACCACAACCTACTCTGGTTCTAGAAAAGTATTGAACCGAAAAGCTATTGACTGCGGATTGATTGGTTTTAGATTTTTTTTTTACAATATTTTAATATTGGTTTTATTTCACATTTAGGCAGCTTGAAAAACCATAAAACATCCTTTGCTGTGGTCAAAAATTTTAAATCTCATATTTTTAAGAGGATTATGTGTCTTTGTATGTTTGTGTGTGAAACACTGAACTAGAATTTGTGGTCTCATTGTAGTCATATTATTTTGGATAGAAGTTTATACATTCCCAGTGCAGATCTTAAACAATACCTCTGTGGTAGCTACAAACATATTAAGAAAGCTAGCTTTGAATGGAGATTTATAATTCTAATTCAGTAAAGACTACTGAAGTACCATTAATCTTTCCATGCCCAAATCCTTAATTTTTACCCCCTTCATCCACTTTGAACCTAATCAACTGAAGCAGGACTGGAAGCATAGAAACTAAAGCATAGACTTTGAGTGGTTGGAGACATTTAACATTTAGATTTCCAGTCTCTTGATGAACAAAGTTACTGAAATTCTGACCTAGCAGAGGCAAATGGGCATAGTGCACACTTGAAATCTATATGTGAGGTTATCTCATGAATTATTCTATTTGAGAATAAGCTGAAAAGAAATAGGTATTCCAAACTCAGATATGATGCTGGTATTCAAAAAGAGCAAATAGACCATAGAAGTGAAAAACATTAAAATAATTTGATCAAGGTTTGGAAAGGTGACTGGACATAGAACTAGGCTCTCATTGATATGTGCATTTTACTTCTCTCTTTCTCCTATTAGCAGACTATCACTATATTAATATGGCCTTCCCTTTTTCCTTGTTTAGGTATTTCATTGGAAAATAGAACTTAAAGGTTTTCTTCTATTTTGTTTTTACAGTTAAACATTAAACTTTAGTGCAAAGGCATTTTCGTTTGATCTTGCCTGAATGGTTCAATATTATTTCTTGGTATTTTTGAACTTTCATATAATTCAGTAATTCTTCAATTATGCAAGTGTAATTTATGGAAAAATAGTAGCATTTTACAGGTGGGCATGGATAGAGCTCTAGCTCTGGAGTCAGGCAGACACAGCAACAAATCCTAGGTCTTGTGGGGACCAGATGTATAAGACTAATCTGGACACTATAATTCTTTCACCATCGGTTTCAGGAAAAGTAAAGAAAATAATTTTCTCCTTGTAGATATTTTTGTGAGATTATATTTGTAAAATGCTTGGCAGAGAGTCAATGGCAGTTCATTCATTTCTTTATTTACTTTAGACAGGGTCTTTCTCTGTCACCCAGGCTGGAGTACAGTGGTGCGAACATGGCTCTTGCAGCCTTGACTTTCTAGGCTCAAGCGATTCTCCTGCCTCGATTTCCTGAATAGCTGAGACCACTGGTGCATGCCACCATGCCTGGCTAACTTTTAAATTTTTTGTAGAAACAGGGTCTCTCTATGTTGCCCAGGGTGGTCTCAAACTAGTGGGCTCAAGCGATCCTCCCACCTTGGCCTCCCGAAGTGTTGGAATTACAGGTGTGAGCCACCATATCCTGCCTCAATGGTAGTCTAATAAAGACAATTTGTAATCCAAACTTGAAAAAATATCAACTCAGTTCTCTTACATTTATGTTTAATAAATGTTGCAGGGAGATGAACTCAGAACTTTGTATCTTAGAATATTTGCAGTTTCTTCTTATTATAGTTATTTGGGTCTTTGTCTCATCATCTACTCTATGAGCCTCCGGTGGAAGGAGACTGTGATTTCACCATTGTGGTATCCTTTGCAGTGCGAGTTCCCAGTATATCATTTGCCAAACCCTGGTCCCAAAATATGCTCCTCCAGGGAGAAATGGTCCATGATATAATAAGCTTGGGAAATGTTGCACACTCACTATGGCCTCTCTAAGTGCTTTCCAACTCGCATTAACTCACTGAATGCACTGAAAAGCTAGGTAGAAGAAAATCTTCACAATCTATATGTCTGTCAAAGGATTAATATCCAGAATCTGCAATGAACTCAAATCAGTAAAAAAAGACAGTCCCATCAAAAAGTGGGCTAAGGACATGAATAGACAATTTTCAAAAGAAGATATACAAATGGCCAACAAGCATATGAAAAAATGATCAACATCACTAATGATTAAGGAAATGCAAATCAAAACCACAATGCAATACCACCTTACTCCTGCAAGAATGGCCATAATCAAAAAATAAAATATCAGTAGATGTTGGAGTGGATGCGGTGATCAGGGAACACTTCTACATTGCTGGTGGGAATGTAAACTAGTATAGCCACCATGGAAAACAGTGCGGAGATTCCTTAAAGAACTAAAAGTAGAACTACCATTTGATCCAGCAATCCCACTACTGCGTATCTACCTAGAGGAAAATAAGTCATTATTTGAAAAAGATACTTGCACATGCATTTTTATAGCAGCACAATCCACAATTGCAAAATAGTGGAACCCACCCAAATGACCATAAATCAATGAGTGGATAAAGAAACTGTAGTATATATATATGATGGAATACTACTCAGCCATAAAAAGGAATGAATTAACAGCATTTGCAATGACCTGGGTAAGACTGGAGACTATTATTCTAAGTGAAGTAACTCAGGAATGGAAAACCAAACATTGTACGTTCTCACTGATATGTGGGAGCTAAGCTATGAGGACGCAAAGGCATAAGAATGATACAATGGACTTTGTAGACTTGGAGGGAAGAGTGAGAGGGGAGCAAGGGGTAAAAGACTACAAATATGGTGCAGTGCATACTGCTTGGGTGATGGGTGCACCAAAATCTCATAAATCACCATGAAAGAACTTACTCATGTAACCAAATGCCACTTGTACCCCAATAACTTATGAAAAAAATTTTAAAAAGGGAGCTCTAACTCTGTTTAACTTCATGTTTCTCAAACTTACTTGATTATGTTTGTTTTTTAATAGCCTCTTAATATTTGGCGTAACCCTCCTCTTATAGTGGCTAGTGCAGTGTTTGCAAAGTAGGTGGGCAGTAGATGTAGGGCATTATGTTGTATGTATTTATATTACATTTCATATGTTTCATTTTATATAAATCTTAATGCTACACAACCTTTTTTAGATACATCTTGCCATTTATTATTTAACATAATTTATATATTTACCAAATATATTTCAAAAAATATGTATATATATGATAAAACCAGAATTAATATTTTAAATTTACCAAAAGCCCTTGGGAAAATATTATTGTAACAGCTCTTTAATCCTGTCCACATTAAATAGATTTGATTTTTCTCATCAGTTTAAGAACCCTTAGGCTACTGGAAAGAGAATTGAGTTCCATATGTGAAATGTGCCCACTTAAATTAAAATGTTAATTAAAACAATAGCAACAATTGTAAAAACAATGGAAATTTCTGTTCTTTTAAAATGAATCGTGTTGGATGAAGTTAACTCTGAAAAAGTGAGATTCCATTTGGTGATACATGAAAACTATCAAAGTTAAACACAATATCCAACTCTCAGCTCATAAATGTTAGAGTAACATCTGTTCTGATGACTCCTCTTGTGGGAGCAATAACAGATAGGTATTTCCATAAATGGGTACACCAGAAAGCAGAAACTTAGCATGCTAAGTACAATTTTTAAAAATCTCATCTATGATAGAAATCATTCCTAACCACACATTTCTCATTCTTATTATCAGCTCAAAGAAAATATAATTTGACCCATTCGTCATGACTCTGAGATGACCTCCTTTTTGCTTCTTACTCTAAGTAGTCCTGCACTGCAGCTGTCTTATATATTCATTGTCAGCATCTCACTTGGCTGCCAATATGCCCTTCTCAGATGCTCTTTTCTCCTTGTCATCCATGCCCCACCAGCTGGACCCATCCAGATCTGGCCTCTAATTTGAAGATAATAGAGACATAAGATAAACTGTTAAACCAGTAGCTGGGTGTTTGTAGCAAGCATTTGTAAATCAATAAGGCTACGTAAGAATCTGAAACATTGCTTCATAATTATTACTGTTAATTTTTATTCTCAAACGCTGGGAGGTATATTTTTTTCATTTTTGTTATTACATACTAGGTGTATATATTTTATATATTTATGGGGTATATGAGATATTTTGATACAAGCATGCAATGAGCAATAATCACACCAGGGTAAATGGGATATCCATCACCTCAAGCATTTATCTTTTAGGTTACAAACAATCCAATTATACTCTTTCAGCTATTTAAAAATGTACAATTAAATTGCTATTGACTATAGTCACCCTGTTGTGCTATCAAATGCTAGATCTCATTTATTCCTTCTAACCATAATTTTTTGTTTGTTTGTTTTTTGCGATGGAGTCTCGCTCTGTCACCCAGGCTGGAGTGCAGTGGTACTATCTCGGCTCACTGCAAGCTCCACCTCCCGGGTTCACGCCATTCTCCTACCTCAGCCTCCCAAGTAACTGGGACTACAGGCGCCCACCACCAGGCCCAGCTAATTTTTTTTTTTTTTTTTTTTTTTTGAGACAGAGTTTCACTCTGTCACCCAGGCTGGAGTGCAGTGGCAGTGATCTCGGCTCACTGCAAGCTCCGCCTCTCAGGTTCATGCCATTCTCCTGCCTCAGCCTCCCAAATAGCTGGGACTACAGGCGCCTGCCACCATGCCCGGCTAATTTTTTGTATTTTTAGTAGAGACAGGGTTTCACCGTGTTAGCCAGGATGGTCTCGATCTCCTGACCTCGTGATCTGCCCGCCTCGAGAGACAGGGTTTCACTGTGTTAGCCAGGATGGTCACGATCTCCTGACTTCGTCATCTACCCGCCTTGGCCTCGCAAAGTGCTGGGATTACAGGCATGAGCCACGGCATCCGGTCTCTAACCATAGTTTTGTACCCATTAATCCCCACTCCCCTCCCCGTGCCCCACTACTGCCCTTCTTAGCTTCTGGTAACCATCCTTCTACTTTCTATCTCTCTGAGTGTCGGGAAGTATTTTTACAGGGGAGGAAATGAAGGCAAAGAGAGAGGTAAAGTGACTTGCCTGAGCTCTGACAATTAAAGGGAGCATTGACATTTAAATGCAATTTTACATGGCTCCAACACTTAACGGTCTTCTTAGCTCTCAGAGAATGATCTAACCTCCAAACTCTTAGGTTTCCCCATCGCAGTCCCCTGTGCATGGACTATGTCCATCTCCACCTGCCATTATTTCCCCCTTTTCCTCCTCGGCAGTTGTCTTATGCAAACATAATCCTTCTGGTTCACTCAATGCAGCCACAAAGTTCCAAGGAGCAAATTGGAAAGATCCACATAATTTAGCAGAGTTCTTTTCAGCACACATTTAACTATCCAGGGATTCCACTGTTTTTCATTGAATGATGGTGATGTAAGAAAAAAAAAGTAGTTCATTGAGGGAAGAAGATACCACTAACCAACAACACAGTCTCTAACCAAGGAGATCACAGATGGCACATCAAGGTCAACTGGCAGGAATCGCCTTCATGAAGGGCTCCCAGAAGCTGAGTGAGAAAGGTACCAGGAAACATTTCTTTCCTTGGGGAGAGATACCTTTGATAATTATTAAGTTATTTTCTGAGTTCTCTGATTCCCTGTGGAAATGACTTTCTAATTTCTGTACTTACCGTTACTATCTTTTGATTTCCTCTTTCTCCTGTGTTTGGGCCCCTAAGACACCAGCATGCTTCAGATGCCATGGTACTTAGACCCAACTCTTGGTTAGCACTCCCTCTAGTGGCAGCTCCATGAATCTCCAATAATTACCCTCAGTTGATAAGTGTCTGAATGATCAAAATCACAGAAGAGTTTACTTACTTAATTTTTATTTAGCCTTTATTTCTGTAATCTTAATGACCAGAAAAATAACTATAAAATTTATCTAATATTATTTATGTGCAAACTACTTCCATTTTTTACTATTAAAATAATTCTTATTCTTTATTGAATATATTTATGTATAGATTGAAAACATTTCCTTAGGTTAAATCCTCAGTAGCTGAATTTTGAGGACATTGAATTTGTCTCTTTATATTAAATAAAATTATACAAAAAGGGTTTTTAAAGCATTACAACACAACTCTCACCAGCCTTGGATCTCATATTTACATTTTTAAGTGTCAAGTAATACCTCATTTCAAACTTGTTACTTCTCTGGTAGTTAGAAGTTGAACATTTTCTGTGTTTGTCTACCATTTGTCTTTCTCAGGTATGAATTATCTACTCATATATTTTTTCTGGTTTGTCTATCAGGATCTAGATATTTCGATATGAACCAGATGAGTCAGTGTAGGCAGAGAGATTCCTCTTTATAAAATTGAATACTAACATTTCCTTGGTCACACTTGCTATTTACCTAGCAAGACCTTGTCTGTTACTAATGTATAGTCTATTGTTTAATTTACCACACTATATTTTACCATATGCTACATGTCTGTCTCCTGTACAGGATTGCTAATTTCTTGAGAAAAATATGAAGTGACTGGGGACACATTAAAGACACTCAAAAATGTTGTTAAAGACACTCAAAAATGTTGTGAGAACAGGAAATCTTCCTAGACAAAATTTCCTAGAGAAAATCTCCAATATGGGGCTAAGACCCCTAGCACCTGCAGGCAAAAGTTTTTTTCTTGTCAGAGGAAGCAGATGATATTACCTGATACCTGTGTTGCAATGAGGGATGAGAACTTGCAATTTCTATAAAAGAATAGGGAAAATCTTCTTTACCACCATTTGGAGTAGAGTCCAAGAACATTGTAATTGAGTCTCATCATACATTCTTTGCTGTGTCCCTGAATGAAACAAGAACAATAAGAACCTTCATCTCTTTGGAGGGGATGACTTAAGTTGTCACGACAGGGTGTCGCTGAAGGCCAGGGAGAATCCTTTTGCCACCTGACACCATTGCCAGGTTAGCTGGTTGTATACTGGCTCCGGGATCCCCAAGACTATTTTGATGGGTGAAGACAGGTGCCCTTGGGCAGGGGGTTAAAGCATTGTGGTTTATATTTGGACTCTGAAATTAATAAGAAACAAAGGGTGAATCAAACCCTTTAACCCCTCTCACTCTCTGCATGTGTTAAGATTAGGTTTTCATGGAGATCAAAATAAAATATGGTCTGACCTGGAGAAGGGAGGTTGCCTGCTTTGTTTGGCAGCCTGGGCTAGCTCACAGTTCCTGAACTGGGTAGTCACTTAGCAAATGTTAGGTTAATGAGTGGACACAGGAAAGAATTCTGAATGCACCTGTGTTCCCCAGCCAACTGTTTGGATTTTTATTTGGTTGTTCTAAAAGGTATAAATTCTTAAGCTGACATTTTCTGTTTTCTTTTCTTGTTTCAAAATTTAGAAAGGTGTCCATTCAAAGAACTGACAGATCTTTGGTAGTAGTTTTTCTACCATAATTTCACATCAGATTATTTACTTAGATGGAGTTGATTTTAGTGTGTGGCAACAGCAATCACTTTTCTTGAGTAAGAAATGAAATAAATCTTCCAGCTTGATTACTGTCACATATGTTGTGAGATAAATCACAAATTTTATGTAGTGTTAGCAAAGTTGTATGAAACAATATGTTTTCTTTTTGTTGCTGTTAAAACTTCAGTTATTTCTATAAGCTTTTTAGTGGCCTTCTGTTATTTATTCTGATCCAAGAGTAGTTTTTTTTTTCTGGTCAAAGCACCTCTAATTCCCTCTCAGTTTGTGTGGTTTGTAAGGAGCTGATGTCTGCTCTGGAGATGGTAAGGAGCTCAGGACTGGCAGTGACATTTTGATACTATTGGGAAAAAGTTTCTCTTTTCTCTCTGGAGCTGCTAAGCTGGTAAGAAGTAAAATTAGAATTGACCCTGAGCAATCTTTCCACTGCCCTAGAGAGACAGCGTGAGAGCTGTCTCTTGAGAAATCCTGCCTAACAATGGAGATAACATATGGAAAGCTAAACTGACAGTCAGATTTCTGAGATGTCTTTTAAGTGCTTGGATCCGGCAATGTGTTGCTTAGACTTTTTCCATTTGAAGAGCTAATCCATTTTTCTGTTTAATAAAATAAGTTGCCATTGGGTTTCTGACACCCAAACTAAAAAAGGGTAATGAAGTTGTGGCGTATTTTAAGCTCTCTTTCCAGTGAACTTTTATTTTTCTTAAGTTGATGCAGATCCCAGCAGTGAAGCATGATTTTTTTTTTTCATTTTCACAGTTATTCTCAATGATCAGCAGGGGTGACACTAGTAAGTAGCTCAGGGCGGTTGGAAGTCTACTAGGCTTTTCAAAATTAACATGGCCAAGACAGGATTTTCTATTTCAACCCCAAACTGATTCCTTCCTCTAGCATCCCCCATTACAATAAATGACATTTGTATTCACCTAGCTGCTAAAGTACCATCTAGAGGTAATTTATTTTTCCTGTTCCCTCACGTGTTACATCTAATCTACCAACAAATCTTTGTCAACTCACCTCCAAAGCACATTCCAAATTCCTCTTTCCTTCAAGCCATTCTAATCCTTTGCTTGCACTCCTGCAAAAGCCTTCCAAGACAGCATGTGTTCTACACAGTCATTCCAGTGGTCTTTTAACAGGTAGACCAGAGCAGAGATCTCAGTCTTCCCAGAAACCTCTGGTGGCTTTCCACTGCCCTAGGGATAAGATCCAAATTCTTGGCAGGGTGCAGTGGCTCATGCCTGTAATCCCAGCACTTTGGGAGGCTGAGGTGGGTGGATTACCTATGTCAGGAGTTCAAGACCAGCCTGGCCAACATGATGAAACCCCGTCTCTACTAAAAATAGAAAAAAATAGCTGGGTGTAGTGGTGTGTGCCTGTAATCCCAGCTACTCAGGAGGCTGAAGCAGGAGAATTGCTTGAACCTGGGAGGCAGAGGTTGCAGTGAGCTGAGATTGCACCATTGCACTGCAGGCTGGGCAACAGAGTAAGACTCCATCTCAAAAAAAAAAATCCAAATTCTTCACCACACTTATAACATCCCACATAATGGGCCATCATATCTGTCTTACACCACTTCCTCCCTACCCATTGTGCTCATCAGTGTGCTACCTGATTCTTGAGGGGTTATTAGAAAGTTGTCAGGACATATTAAAACCAAATATTTAAAGAAATGCATAACTGCAGGACATAGTCTATTTTCCATCCGGTGGTAACTCCACAATTTTCAGAGAGCAACACTGATGGTTATTATAACCTTTCTTAGATCCCTAAGCTTCTCTACCTGTTTTATCTCGATACTTAAAACAACCATAATTAGGTATGTTGTGGTATTATTGTCATTGTTCAGAGAAGCGCAATGAAACCAATGCAGGTTTTAACTTACCCAAGGTGATAATGATTAGTAAACTACTAATCCAAGACTGGAACTCAAGTCTCTTGTGTTCTGGATCATTGATTTTTCCTTCTGTTATTTTTTGGTAATAATTAGAGGGGGGTCAGAGTAACTCTATCTCTATAAACTTTTATCAGACTAGAACATTTCCAGAGATTAAATAGTTTCCTTTAAGAGCTGCATGAACCAAGTATATGATGCCAGTGTTCTTCAATGCACAGACACTGCCTGGCCTACATAGGCAGAAAGTAGCCTGCTTTGTGCACCTAGGGTCAAATTTTTAAGGAATTCTATGCTGATGAATACTTGTACAGAGCCTTCAATGAAGGAATGTGTAAGAATCAGAAAAGTTGCTCATATTTCTTAGTAAAAATGAATTTTGTATTCAGCTCGTTAAGAATGTACTTGCCTGGGGATTGATGGAGGCTTATCAACAGTGTAGCTTCATACATTTCCACACACCTGGAGACTCACTGCCTCAAGGCTCATGGCTCATTTCAGAAGAGCTGTAGCAAAAGGCAGTCAGGGAGGAAAGGGATTTCAGGGGCTCAACATTCAGAGGCTCATTGACTTTTGTGCAAATGACTTGTACCTGCCTGAGTGCACATTTCTAAAGTAGAACCTGTTTCTGTTTGCTTTTATTAAAAAAATCATATAAAAATCTGCCAGACCAAGTGCACGTTAATGAGCAAAATGTCTGTAGCCAGCCATGTAGAAAAGCAAACTGTTTACCACAGAGGCTGATAAAAACTGCATCATAAATTCTTAGTGTACAATTGTGTTTTTTTACTTCATCATGGAAAATCCCTGAAACAAATGAAGATATGTTGACATCATGTATATCAACTTCACAGTGCCTACAAGTCTGAGTCTCCTGAGTCAGTGACATGTGGAAAAATGGGCTTTGTAAGGATCTACTGGCAGCCCATAAACTCTAACTGAGCTTTTGGGGATTTCTGTAATTTTGAGGAACAGAGAAGCCTTCCATCCTCCTCACTGCAGAGAAAGGCAGAGAGGCCAGAGGCAGGGCAGCTCCAGTGCACTCACAGAGGCAGCAGGCACAGCAGGGTGGGAGACTGTGTGCAAGGAAGACAAAGGGGTCCAAGCTGGCAATGCCCTCTTTGGCCATGGTGGGAAGGTAATGAGGAAGGCAGGCCAGAGGCTGTTGTTGCGTTGGAAATCATTGGACGACAAGACTCTGACTTATTTCTCTCAGTATCTGACTATTTCCTCTTTATTGACAGGGCAGGAAGGCTGGACAGGATGCTGTAATTGTTGGGGATCGTAAAAACTACATGAGTGGCTCATGCTGAGCCAGTGCTAGCTGAAGGTCAAGTAGGGCATCAGTCTCTCTTGATATCATATTAATTGATCTCCATTTTTTCTTTCTTTTTTTAAATTATACTTTGAGTTCTGGGGTACATGTGCAGAATGTGCAGGTTTGTTACATAGGTATACCCATGACATGGTGGTTTGCTGCACCCATCAACCCATCATCTACATTAGGTATTTCTCCTAATGCTATCCCTCCCCTAGCTCCCAACCCCCTGACAGGCCCTGGTGTGTGATGTTGCCCTCCCTGTGTCCATGTATTCTCATTGTTCAACACCCACTTATGAGTGAGAACATGTGGTGTTTGGTTTTCTGTTCTTGTGTTAGTTTGCTGAGAATGACAGTTTCCAGCTGTATTCATGTCCCTCCAAAGGACATGAACTCATCCTCTTTTATGGCTGCATAGTATTCATGGTATATGTGTGCCATGTTTTCTTTATCCAGTCTGTCACTAATGGGCATTTGGGTTGGTTCCAAGTCTTTGCTATTGTGAACAGCGCTGCAATAAACATACATGTGCACGTGTCTTTATAGTAGAATGATTTATAATCCTTTGGGTATATACCCAGTAATGGGATTGCTGGGTCAAATGGCATTTCTAGTTCTAGATCCTTGAGGAATCACCACACTGTCTTCTTCAATGGTTGAACTAATTTACATTCCCACCAACAGTGTAAAAGCGTTCCTATTTCTCCACATCCTCTCCAGCATCCTCTGTTGTTTCCTGACTTTTTAATAATTGTCATTCTAACTGATCTCCATTTTTTTCTCCAGCCATATTTCACACTATACCATTCCACTATATTTTGGAGATCGCATGGAACAATGGAAAACGCATGTACTATACAGTTTTGAACTTGAAGTCTAATTTCAACGCTGAACTTGGGCACGCTACTTACACTGTCTGAACCTTAGCTTTTAATCTGTAAAGTTTTTGTTTCAGAGGTTTTGGTAAATATTAATTAACCATTAATAGAGTGCCAGCTATGTGCTAGACACTGTCTCATGAGTACTGAGAGCCAGGATTCTCATAGAGTTTGCAGACTAGTGAGAAAGCTAGACATTAATTTAAAAAATCATGCTAATGACTGTGTGATTGCATTGTGAGAGGGACCAGTGCCTATGGCTGTGCAAGTTGTGTACTGCACAACTCCAAGGGGAGCCATTTATATCATATTCTATGAAAATGGTGTTCTGTGAAGTTGTGCGGGACATAAACTGTACAGCGGTGCATGGTAGTCCAGTCTGCAATAAGGGCTCTGAAGGAAAGGAAACTGGCTCTGTTAGAGAATATGCAAAAGATAATTGATTTAGACTGGTGAGTTGGATAATTAAGTTAGACCTACAATTTGCTTCTGCAAGGAAATGCTACTTAAGTGGAAATGCAAAATAAATAGTAGTTTAGCGCTTAGTACTGGCCCAGACATAGTATAGAATCTATAGTGCACTTTCATTATTGTGTGTTATTTCTCCTGAAAGTGTCTCTCTTGGGTCTTATTCTCCTGATATGCGGTGTCATTGGGTAGATTCCTGAGCAAGGCAGGCTCTAGAGCTAGGAAGGGAATGGACCAGGAAGCTGACTATCAGAGAAGGAACTCACAGAATAAATCCACACTTTTGATATCAGGATGGAATCTGAGTTATGATTGAGCTAAAGTTGGGATGTAGTGGCTCTAGCTTGGGGTAGAGGCCGCAGATAAGGGATGAAACACAACAAGGCCTGTGATATTATTACTGTTATCAATGACACTTCCAGGTCTGGGTCAGCTCCCAATGATGCTCTCAACCCAGGCTGTGGAAAGTAGGTTCAGGAAACTGACACTAAGATCCACAGCCTGCCTGGCTCTCTTCACCAATCTCTGATATAGGTCTTGGAGCAGGGGAAGAGGGCCAAGGCAGGAGAGGGTGAGGGGTAGGAGGAGGAAGCACCGCAATTGTGGTGGGGCTCAAAGTGGGAACTGAGCATCAAGGAG
Organism: Homo sapiens; assembly: GCF_000001405.40. Classification (NCBI taxonomy): domain Eukaryota; kingdom Metazoa; phylum Chordata; class Mammalia; order Primates; family Hominidae; genus Homo; species Homo sapiens. Next base: position 18,185,841 of record NC_000002.12, read on the forward strand.
CGGAGTCTCACGGCTTGCACCTGATGAGGTAATGCCACTTTCCTAAGGCTGGAGTGAAGACTTTCACAGCTGGCTCCAGTCTGGGGAAGGAGGGGTGTCTCACCTCCCATCTAACAGCTCTGTGGGTTAACATGCTCAACCTCTCCTGAGTCAGGTCTTTGCTCATCCTGTGACTTTGGCCAACCCTGGACAGAAATCTTTGTTGGCCCCTCCAGACTTACTGTCTAGCCTTCTCCACTACACTCTCCACGTGGAGAGGCTGGACTGCATGGATGATGTCAGTGGGTTGCCTTGCTCTTTGTCTTCTGGCTTCCACATGGGCTTGGCCAATGCGGTGACCCATGTAAGTGATTAGAAGGAAGAGAGTGAGGTCACAGTATGCATCTCCAGCTCTCACCCCAGAAGGTCACCTCAGACTTCCTTGTCCCTTGACTAGGTGGTCACTGTTGCCTTCCAAGTGTCCAATTCTACATGATTCCCTCTTTTTGGGTTTTGATAACTGCATCCTTTCTAGCCTAGGGTTGGTGATAGTGCAGCTTCTACCAGCCATGCGTTACTGCATTTTAACTTGGTTACTGTGATTTCTTTCATTCACACTTTTTGAAGTTGTCTTTTTGCAATGCCTTCTCTCAAATAATCCCATTTTGAGATTTCCATTTGCTTCCTATTGAGAGTCTGACCGATAGAAACACCCTTCCACTTCTTTCCTTAACGTGAACTTCAACACATATTTCAGGTTCTAACTGAAATGCTGCCTTTTTTCTAGAACACTTCCTACTACCCCACCTCACCACTACACACAGAATTACTTAGCCTGTACTTGGACTACCCACAACATGCCCTCCTGTGTTATGATTCTTTTTGGGTTTTATGGGTGTTATCTGTTGCATGTCTAGTTCACATTTCCCTTCTTCACACTAGGCTATGAGCTCGCCAAGTCAGGCGTGGGTCCCACTCATCTTCCTATCCCTAGTGTTTTGCTTGCAGCCTGCTCCTTCTGTGAGTTTGCTGAGGCCCAACCATGAGGAGCTGGCCAGAGCCACTGTGACTTTTTATTGGTTACATCATCCTTTTTGTTGGGACTTATGGCAGTTAATATATATAGGGCTGTGTGTGTTGGTTTTCCAGCCCTATTGAGAGTCTTGGCATAATGACATCTATGTAATCAGGGAGCCAGAGGAAGTGAGCTGATTTGATGAGACTTGGAAGAAAAATTATGCTTTGTAAACCCAATCAAGTCATGGCATAGCAACCACTGTGGATTAAAAATCTACTATGTAATATGCACATCCATTATGCATCAATAAAAAAGAAAATAATCTATGCGCTGAAAGCTGCATTCATCCTAGTGGGGTGTCATGACTTTCACATCAGAATTTTGGAATGTTTGCAAAGAACTCTGGAAGAAACATAAGCAGAAGCAAAATGCAATTGCTTTTATTTTGAGCCTCACGTCAAATACCTGCTATTCCCTCACAGGGTTAGGCAATCATACCAGCTCAAGAAGTTACTGAATCTTCTCTTCCCTCCTCCTTCATTTTCTTTCTTTATTCTTTCTGGCAACAGATGTCTGCAGCCTAAAATGCCAAAGTTTTATAGTAAATAAACATTTTCTTCATGCTCAGAGTTTTCTCATGGCAGGCAGAGGTGTTTGAAGCCAAGTATGACTCACAGTAAGTTTCTAAATAGTGATTTAATAAATACATAAAGTAATTTAACTTGGTTATAATTGAGAATGCAGAACTTAGGTGATGCTCCATGGTATCAAAGGCTTCCAGGCAGAGGGGGCTGCTGTCCACCGTTCAGGGCCTCTTGGTCACCATCTCCTCTAATCAGCATGCACAGCGGAAATCCTACTGATAACAGCCCATGTCCTGGGGAACACTGATGCTGCTCAGGTCAGTGTGTCTGGGGACTCAGAGTAATTGATCCAATAACAAGTTCCAGAGCCTCCAGAACAGAGTCGTGAGTATCTGCCATCTTTTTTTCACCTACAGAAGCACAGCAAATGTCTTCATTTATTCTCTCTGGCTGAATCTTTGTAAATTCCACTCATCTTTCTTCTTTGGACTTTTTGATTAAGAATCCTGTCAGCAGAGCAATTTGATGTCCAAGGGAAGATGTTGTTTGTGAGGCATTTTTCTTCTTCTTTTTCTTCTTTTTTTTTTTTTTTGTAGTTGAAGTAGAAGATCCTTTTATGCTTGAAAACCTTTCTATTACTTTTCCCCACCATGAATGTAAAGTTAACTTTACATTGTGACAGAATGTGTTAATGTTTCTTTCCTGTGCAACTTTGCCTGCATTGCTCTGGGACTGTGCACACAGCTTTGGATTCCGCAGGTGCAGAAACACAGCTGCAGCTGTGTGCTCTAGGTGCAGAGGGGGCAGGGATCCCAGGTGAGGGACAACTTGCCTTCCTTGCCAAAAGGTGACTGTCCTGCACGTGCTGATTGTAGGTAGGGACTGAAAAGTGACAGGGCCAAAAGCACTTTCAGAGAAACTACAGGATGAAGAGCAAATTCACAGCCTCTAAATCCCTTTTCCTAGCACTTGTTTCCTAGCCATGCCATGCCAAGCTAATTTAAATATATGAATATTAATGGATTTGAAAATTATTTAGCATGAACCTACTAAGTGCCTGGCACCATGCTAAGCATTATGGGTAGAATGCATAATTACATCCTGGAGAAGCTCGAGTCTAATGGAAGAGACAGATACATATACCCACAAATCAAGTAAGCACAGGGGGTATTATGGAAGTGAAAAGGAGGGTCTCCCTAATCTGGATCTGGCAGATGCTCCAGACTAAATCATAGCCATTGACTGCAGGGCTGCTGGGAGGACAAGGTCAATGTGCACATTCAGGGGGGTTGTCCTTTTGCTCTTCCTCAAGGTCTCAACCACTTGGCTTAGTAAACAGGCATTTAGTTTTCAGTCTGGTGAGATTGTCCTCTGAGGCTGATAAAATGAAAAGCTTCCAGAAGCTTCTTAAGAAAATATAATTTGAGTTAAGGCAAATACCTTAAATGATGCATCTGAACTTCAAGGAGGAGGCAGTGGTGTGCACAGGCTGCTGGAAGTCAAGGACTGTTTTTTATATTCACAAAACCCAGGGCAATGCCTGGTAAAGAAAAGAAACTCAGCACCTACTGCTGGCATAATTAGTTGGGAGTCGAGTGATCTGTGTTCTGGCTGAGTAGCATTGGATCCTTCACTTTTCCCTTATCTTTGTTTCCTTATCTAAGAAATGAGGAGTCATATTTGGAAGATCTCCAAGGACTCTTTCTCCTTTGATATTCTCTGGGTCGGCCAAAAAATCTAAAGCACCCCCACCACCCAAAAAATCCATCCTCTCAGAGAGAAAAGAGACCCAGGGAGGCTGAAGGTACCTAGGAGGGAAAGGGCAGTTCTCTGGAGGGTATGTATAACATCAGCTCATAATGTAAAGTGAAATCAGATAAGCTCAAAGCCCAATGTATTTTACAGTGGATAATTCATGGTTGATTGAACGGTTTGAAGATTAAATATTCAAGGTTAAGTATACATTTCCATTAAGGGGATCTATATCCCCGTGACACAGATTTTTTTTCAGTACCTCTTGTTTATGGAGTTATTTGGAACACTAAAACGCTAGGAAAAGAAGAGTGGTAATCATATTGCTTCTTGGATTTGGAAGAAAATTAAGATTAGAGGCTTGAGGATAATTTATGAAATTTGTCATAGTTGATTGACAGACGTCAATGATGGAAATGGGATATTGCATCCCTCTTCCATCTAAGTATTGAACAGGTGAAATGCTTCCTGGCAATAAGTGATTTACCTGGAAAAAAAACAGGACCACACACTGTTACTTATTTCTTAATCATATCCATAGTTCAATACAAAGTACCACTGTGTTCAAACTCAAAATGCTGGAGGCTCTGAATGGGGAGCCCAATGCTACTAAACCATGTTTGTTGTCTGAATATCTCACCTAAAATTTGGCCCAGAATTTTCACTTGAATCTTATGGTGACATTTGAGGAGCTCTGAAAAAGGAAGAAGTCATGTCTCAGAGGCTCTTGCTTGCTTGCTTGCTTTTCTTCTAGATTCAGGCATGAAAGGACATGAGTTTGAAGTTTTGTCACAAATTAGGTGATTAGTGTAGTGAGAAACAAGACAGGCGGGACAGATGAACAAAGTAGAAATATCACTAATTAAGAATTTTGCAGAGGTTGTACCAGAGAGTAATTGATATAAGAGATGTAGCCATAAAAATATTTTGTTCAGGGACAGAGAACATAATTTTTATAGAGAGGGAGTTGGTAGGTAAGGCAGGGAAGGGCTTGGGAAGAAATTGGAGTTCAGGATGTTAGTCATAGAGGAACAGGAAGCCGGAACCTTTACATGCATTGATTTGGAGCAGAATAAAGAAGATGGTCAAAAAAAGCTGGACCCATGAGTTGTTTCCATCATACTCCATAGCAAATGCCACTACACTTTACGGACTCTACATACCCTTCCAACTGCCTCCAGTATTGACCTCAGAATCCAGGGCAGGCTGAAGTGGAAATCAACTAGTTACAGCTTCCAAGAGTGTGAGGTCAGGGTTTTGAATGAGCCATGCAATACCTGTATACTTAGAAAAGTCATATCTCTAAATGCCCTTGTTTCAGAGGGTTTCAGAATTTTGAGCACTCTTAAATTCTTTAGGAAGGGCTGGAATAGTTAGCTGCTCAGTGTTAATGATATTAATAAGTGTGTCATCTGTCAGGTCCACCAGTGTGAAACTGTCATCTGTGCAGATTCCACCCCACATGATTCCCTGTTGCAGTTTGCAGGCTGTAGCTCATCCTATGCTGGAAAATAGAGAAAATGTGAGGTCTCCTGCATTTTTCTAAGGGTCTGCACAACCCTCAAGGTAAATCCATTTCCATTTCAAGTGAAATAATTACTTAGGATGAGGACAGTTGTAGTTTACAGATCAGTTCATCATTAGCTAAGCTATTGTGTATCTGATAATTCCAAAGTTATGGATTTATTTTGGGAAATGAAAATAAACAAAAATAAAAAAGAAATGAGACCAGAATGAGTTTCATAGGCTGCCAACCATAAAAGATACCATTTGAATTTGTGAATAATGAATAAACAGGCTTTCACTTGGATTCAATTTACTTGGTTGCTACCAACTTCCCTATGAAACATATAAGCATTAACTTACCTGCTGGTCACTTCTCAGGACACATTGAGAAATATGACAGGAATGCTAGATGGTGTCAGAAATCATTTTTAGTGTGAAAGGAGTCTACTTTATTACTTTTGAGTTTCTTACCCTTATAAAAGCCTTCAAGTCTAGAGAAATGCTGAAAATCTTCCTAAAGGAGAGCATTCAGATCAGCTAAATTAATACATGGGTAAGAAAGTTTCCATATCTGATTCTTAACACTATGATTCCACCCAGGGCTAGAAGAGAAACAGGGTGGGTTAGGAAGTCAGAGACTGGTTCTGGTGATGCCATTTAATAGCTATTAAATCTTAGACAAGTCTTCAAGTGTTCTGTTATCACTGGCAACTTCATAAAAGCTACTTACAGAATTGTTTTGAAAACTAAATAAATGAATATAGAGGGATATCACTAAACCATAAAGTATGAGTATTTTTAGGTCTAAATTCATTTCTTTTACATATTTAGGCTGCCTATATTAAAATGGAAAGGTACAAACACATTTTCTGTAAATAAGGCATTATGACTGCATGTTTGTATCCCCTGAAGTTTATACCTTGAAATCCTCACCCCTAAGCTGATGGTATTAGGAGGAGCCTTTGGGAGTTGATTAGGTCATGAGAGAGAGTTGAGCCCTCATGAATGCAATTAGTGCCCTGATTAAAGAGGCCCCAGAGAGCTCTCTTGATATTTTTTTTCCCACCTGTAGGATACAATGAGAAGTCAACAGTCTGCAACCCAGCAGAGGGCCCTTACCAGAACCTGACCATGCTGGCACCCTGATCTTGGACTTCTAGTCTGCAGAACTCATAAGAATAAATTTCTGTGGTTTATAAGCCACCCAGTCTATAATACTTTGTTTTAACAGCCTGAATCGACTAAGACAGGAGTGACTGGGTCTATCAGGGTATTGCTTGGATGAAAAAGTTTTTTGGAAAGAGCATGCATTTCATAGGGGAATATAGGTTTCCTCATTTAAAAATTGCACCAAATGATTAAAATAGAAATCATTACCCACCATTTTTTTTCTCTTTCCTTGAATGTGAGGGAGAATAGGATGATGTAAACTATCCTAAGAGTGGCAGCCATTTCTCCAACACCATCTCTCAGCAGACAGGGTCTTTACCATAAAATTCCTCCTGGGTCAGGCCTTTGTGATTATCAGAATTCAGGGAGCATGACATGAACCTGAAAAGGAAAATCTACTGCCATTGGCAGAATTTGTACTCCAGTTTGTACTCTGGCCTATAAACTCAGACTCACAAACAAGTGATGTGGGTTGGCTGTGTCCCCACCCAAATCTCATCCTGAATTGTAGTTCCCATAATCCCCATGTGTGTTGGGAGAGATGAGGTGGGGATAAATGAATCATGGGGTAGTTTCCCCCATCGTGTTCTCGTGATAGTGAGTTCTCACAAGATCTGATGGTTTTATAAAACCTTATATGTTTTATAAGTATGCCATCACTGGGCACTCATTCTTCTCCTTGCTGCTGCCATATGAAGAAGGATGTGTTTGCTTTCCCTTCCACCATGATTGTAAGTTTCCTGAGGGCTCCCAGCCATGCTGATCTGTGAGACAATTAAACCTCTTTCCTTTATAAATTACCCAGTCTCAGGTATGTCTTTATTAGCAGCATGAGAATGGACTAATACAACAAGCGTATCTCTACATTTGAAAATTTGAGCAGCATTTGAAAATATTAAACTTTATTCTGCATAATTGTGTTCCTTTTATTTGGAAGAGAGACCATTTTGAAGATAATGAATGCTGTTGATCTTTAATTTTTCTCTCATGCTATTCTTCCCGGGACTACAGCCTACATTATTGACAATGTCTCATTAGTCCTCATAAAAAATGATGTCCCCTGTGATTGTCTTTTTCTGAAGTTTCTCCTGAAAGAAATGAGTTTGGAACCATCTGTGAGAAATTGAAGAATTCAAAAAATTTCTAAGAGTTGAATGAAAAGAATTTACATTTTTCAGTTGGAAACAAAAATCAGCAGGGTCTCTTGAGAAACACAATCTACTGTTCACCTTCCTCAGAGAGACGTGTGTTTGCAAAACCAAATCTGCCAACAGTACACTTCAAGGACTCTCTTGAAACTGAACCCAAGTGCATTTAAAATATAAACTACATTTGTTGGTTTCTGTTTTTTTGCATATCATTGGGGTCATAGAATGATGAGGAATCAGGGTTCTTATTTGTTAAATGAAATGTTATTAAATTCACATAGTAAAAGATGTCAAATAAATTTATAGGGGAGACAGAGTGAAAATGGAAATTGCAATCATTTAGGTATGAGCAATATTTTGTGTTTATTACCTGATCCTCCTCAAAGGAATTTAAGGAAATTATATAGTCTTAAAGATTGGAAGAAAACATTACTGAATCACACTTGAGAATGACCTGCAAGTGGGGCAAATCACCCCTGAAAGGTCGTTCTGCTTCAGCGTGAACATTGCACAATGACTGCATCTCCATCCCATTGGTAGGCAGCTTGCAGGTTAGAAGCTTCTCATATTGAGTCGAAATTTGTCTCATTTGTTTTATCCACTTGTCCTAAATTCCACCTCACCAATATATAATTTTTTATTGTAAATTACATCCTTTCAAGAAGTCGAAGATAAATCCTTTATCCTATACAAGTTTTCTTCAGAGGAATCTGAAAGGAAATTACATGTTGTTTTCCTTTATGCTTCAAATATGCTTAGTAGATGTTTGCAGTAGTCTGAAAGTCTTTCATTCTATGGATGACACCTCTGCCTTACTCTGTTATGATGAGAGTAGGCTGTTATAACTGGCTAAATGGCACATCCTCAGCCAACAGAGATATTGAGATGTCTGTCACAGATATAAAACAGAATTGTTCTTTTCTCCTGGATCTTTGATTTTCTAAGGCAATATATGTAATTTCAGCTCTGCTATCTCATCTTCCTAGTATCTGTTAGTGGAATGGCCACGGATGTTGAAACCTGAGAAGCCAGTTTCAGATTTTCTCTGAAGACTGAAGTCCAGTCAATTTTGGGCTTTACATTCCCTTCTTAGTTGATAGCAATTGAAAGTGCCACTGAAGCAGCCAATGATACAATTGATCAGCTTGGACTGATCAATAACTGAGTACCTAGGGCCTGATTTGTGTGTTAGCCTTCTAGTTTCTGAGAAAAAAATAAAACTTTCCCCTAAATAAAGACATCAGTTGGGTAGCTGAGATCAGAAACTCAAGGTCAGTGTGTGACTCAATGGCAGAGCAGTGGCCTCAGACTTCCCCTGCCTCGCTCCACTTTTGAAGTTGGTTGACTGCCCTGTGACTGTACAGAGGTCCTAATGGTTTACCCATTGCACTGCTTTGTTTGATGTGTACAGTATTCTTATTGCAATTCCCCTGTCTTGATGAATCAGCTCTATCTAGGCAGTGGGCAAGAAGAACACATTGGGCAGTTACATTTTCAACTCAGAAAGATCACTTTGCTGTTTGTGAATTCCTCCTCTCTTATTTGTATGTACATTACATATATATGTATATATACAATATATTGCTTTTCTATTTTTATATACATAAATTATTTACAGATGTTGGAAAAGAGATAGCAGAAGTATGATCACAGAGAAAAGGGAAAGGATACTTTTACTTCTACTCTGTAATATTTTCCCAGAACTCTTTCTTATCATTTTCTGTGCTTACTCATCAACTCTGTAAGAAATGGGGGGAAAAGATTTCTTCCCTTAACTTTCTGTCCTTCTTAAGTGCTTGTGTGTACAACTGTTTTTTGGTCAACATTTTATTTTGGATATTTCTGTAAACTAATGAATTAAATCTAAATTATTGAAACCTGAAGATTAAAGATTTATACTATGTTTAAAATGTGGGGTAAGTATAGTTGGGATAAATTATTGATGTCAAAATGAGGTATCCTCTGGCCTGGTGATTAGATTTCTTATTCTTCTCAGAGAGCCTTTGGTGGTTTCATCTATTATTTTCTTCTGTTTTTAAATTTGTTATAAAATGTAGCCATAATTTTTCAATACAGAAATACAGTAATTTTAAAAAATCCACTAGAAGTCTAAAATAAAATACTTACTGGAAAGTTAACCATTTTCTGAGGGTGCCATTTCCCCATTTGTTCTGAACTCCTGGCATTTAGATTTTCTTGACTTTACACACCTGGTAAACATTTGGAATGGGAAGAATACATCATAAATGTCTGAAGAAGTAAAGAAGATTAAGCCTCTGTGAGAGTACCAGAGCTTCTTGGTTACTTATATTTCTCCACCACAGGTTTAGGAAAAAACTTGATGAGGCACAAACATTTCAGTTTTCTCACTTCCCTTTATCAGCCTGTACCTAACATAAGCAAGAAACCCATTAACTCCCAACTTTATGGATCTCTAGGGATTGCCTTAACCCAAGGAAAAAACTTCGCATGTATCAGGAGAGGAAGATCATATGATCTAACTTGGTAACTTGGTTCCCTAAATGTTCAAGGCTTTCTCACATTTTTTAGTTAAAGTCTTATCCCCTCTCTAATCCAAACCTTGCCCATAGTATTCTGTATTCCAGGAATGTCCCCCTACTCTGTCCATAAGGAAACCTTTCGTCACTGTCAAATCTCGATTCAAATGCTTCTCTATGAAGTTTCTCTTTCTTTACCAGGTAAATACATTTGCCACTTTTTTATTCTGCCTATGTACTCAATACAATAGTAATCTTATTGGATGTGGTTATTTACATGCTGATATATACACTAATTTTCTTGAGTGCAGGGACATATGATATGTATCTCTCTCTCTTTTTTTTTTTAATGAAGTCTCGCTCTGTCACCCAGGTTGCTGTGCAGTGGCATGTTCTTGGCTTACTGCAACTTCCGTCTCCTGGGTTCAAGAGATTCTCCTGCCTCAGCCTCCTGAGCAGCTGGGATTACAGGCATGCACCATGATGCCCAGCTAATTTTTGTATTTTTGGTAGAGATGGGGTTTCACCATGTTGTCCAGGCTGATCTCGAACTCCTGACCTCAAGCCATCCACCTGCCTCTGCCTCCCAAAGTGCTGGGAATACAACATGAGCCACCATGCCCAGCCAATATATATATATCTTTAATACAGAAGGCTTGCTATAATTCAGATCCCAATGCTTAGTCATCCAGATACACGGAGACATTCTTTAAAGTGGGTGTTACCTACTTCTTTTCTTTGCTATCCATGGGCTGTAAATAGTTACTGGGATGGTCTGTCCAGTATTTTGGATCATAGAGCTGCTTCTCTGCTCTGCATTAAGAAGAAAGAGTAATTAGTCTCAAATTACTTTGTGTTTGTATTAGATTACACATTTACATTTGAAATAGAATCAGTTCAATGACTAAGATGAAATACATAACATTTATCCATGCAGTCACAATAACTGTTCCTTGTTACAGAAATCATGGAGAAGGTGATATTTTGTTTATTTTAGATTTTCTTAGGTTCAGTTCGCAGTATCCTAAAATAACAATGATGTTCTAAGTCTTTGCATTTGCACCAACTCTTACACTTTATATATACTCCCTTCAGGGTACATTTTCAATTCATGAAGATGCTTGGTTGCAGGCAGTATGCTTGGCACCTGTGACACAGAGAGTAATAATACAAAGTCCTTGACTTTTAGAAGTCACGGTGAGGTTGTATAAAATACTTTATAACAGCTTATAAATAGACACACACACACACACACACACATGCATACATACACACATATACCTACACATGTAGATATACAGCAGGACTCAGGTGATAGGGAAATACATTCTATCTACATTTGAAATCTATTGACATGGATTATCTTCTAATCTTGATAAGAATCCTGTGAGGCAGGTATATCAGTTAGGTATTTAACAGTGAATGATAGAAATCCATAAATTGGAGACTTACACAAGATATGTATTTATTTCCCAAGTAAAAAAAAAAAGCCAGGAAGAGGAGCACCAAGGCTGTTTAAATGGTGATTCTACAGCCATCGAGGAGGCAGAGTCCTTAGAGCTTTCCTCCACGGAGTGTCTAGATTATGGCCCTCATGTCAGCAAGGTTGATAACGAATGTTTGAGCTTGGAGGAGAAGGGAGGACACTTTCTCTTTCAAGGAGACTTTGAATGTCTCATGCAATAATTCCAGTTTGGTAGAGAATTAGCGGTCTGTCATGGAAGTTTGCAGTTGAAGAACTGCGGGCTCAAGGAGTGATGTGGTGATGCATGGAGTTAGAAGACCTGTATTCTTGGGCGGCTCAATCATTTACTAGAGATGGGATTTGGAGCAAATCACTCACTTCTGTACATGCTCGATTTGTCACTGGAAAATAAAATATCTCCAGTGTGAGAGAGCTTTGTAATAATTAAATGAAAGAGTACATGCAAAAACCATTGCAGACCATAAAGTACCACACTAATTAGTTATGGGTGGAGCTGAAAGTTTGGTTACTTTACACCATTAGTCAAGTCAAACAGTGATTTCAAAGCCAGCAGGTATAAGATTTTTCAAGAGTTTGCAGCTGTATATCACTTCCTTTAACAAATGTGTGGATTTGTTTCCACCTTTCATTTTAGAGTTCTAGGTTATATTGTTCTGCAGGAAAGATCAAAATGTACATATTTCTGTGGATGTTTCTTAGAGTAAAAAAGTGACATCCAGCTTCATTCTAGTTTGTGTTCAGAATGAACGAGGCTGAGAAAACACGAGAGTGCTGAGACAAAACAACTCGAGAGGAACGTTGTGTCTTGCTGCCTTGGCCACCTGGCGGGAAAGGAAAACCAGAGCCGTGGGAACCAGAGGGTATCCAGGAGAGTTTTCCAGCAGCTCTGGTCCCATACTGTACCCCAGCCTTGTAGGGATGAATTTTTATTAGAGCTCTGACACTGAATGTGAGGACTTCAGGAAATTTATCCACCTGTTTGGGGACTTACTTTCCTTTTATAGGACATAAACATTTCTCCTTGGATTTATGTTTCCTCAAAATCTTTTTCTATTTTTTTCTGATTTAATTATTAACTTATCTAATAAAGTAGATTTAAATCAATTCATTCCATGAGGGAGAAAATGAGGTGCAGAAAGAAATAACAAGAAGATGAGGTGTTTACAGTTCTGGCTCTGCTGCTTACCAGTTCTGAGTTCTTGAACAAGTTATTTAGCATTTCTGAGCTTTGGTTTTCTCACTTGTAAAATGGGGTTAACAACACCTACCTCTCAAAGCTGTTGTGAGAGTTAAAGCAAATAGTGCAGTGCAGACACACAGGAACTATTCGTCATTCAATAAATGATGCTTGTTATTCAGTCCAGGTTGCATCGAGACACCCAGCACTCCTGATCAAAGTCTAATGCTCTTTCTACTTCATAAAATGCCTTTGCTGACCCCTTCCTGGCCTCAGTCAAAATGTGGGCTGCCATCTACTCCTCTATTTATCTGGGTGGGAGGTAAGAAGAGAGAAAAGAAGTTCGCCTAAATTATGGATGGTGTGATGTGGTGAGCGATCTTAGATGGTAAACAGAGACAGACCTAAGAGGTTTATACCTGCCTCAATTCACAGATGAAGAAACTGAGGCCCAGAGAGGGGAGGACTCACTAGAAATCAACAGCTTTTCTTTTCATGACTTTCTGTAAACCTTTTTGGATTGCAGCAAAGCCCAAGTATTTATGGATTTGTCTGTTCTGCCTTGCCTGGGCTCATATGTGCAGGGGCCACATTAGGCACAGAAGGAAAGTAAAGCCCAATTATGGCTGTCTACAGCAGCTGGCACAGTTAGGATTTTAATATACACTTAACAGTGGTTTTATAACCCTCAGTTTGCAGCAGACTGGCTTCTCCCGCATGTCACTAATTAAATGTATTACTCTGGTTCACCGTGGATAGAATGGATCAATGAGTGTTGTAATACATTGAAGGAGATAAAGCACTATTCAAAGGCTTTGTATGAAATGTCATTGGTCTTATTAGTATTTCTAGCTTGATTCTTAAAATTCTCAGCAGCTTAGCAACCAGAATGATTCTTTGAAGTATCATTTTAGTCCACCAGTCAGAAAGCTAGCCTTTGGTTGGGAAGGAGGTGGGAGAGGTCTAAGTCTATAGGAGTGATTCTGTTGGAAGACTTCTAGTACCGTGGTCCTCAATAGGTCCTTAAAGATTGCTAATACACATCCCTGAATTTTCATATAAGGACAAAGGCCTGGAGAAAGGATGTAATTTGCTCTAGGTTACATAATCAGATGGTGAAAGAACAGGGATGAAATCTCCTGATTTGTAAGACAATATACAGAACTTATGCATAGTTTGTTTTTGTTCTTTAGAATCCATGGAAAGAAGTAGAGAAGTAAGGTGAAACATTGCCTAGCAATTTGAATTTAGATGGTTAAGTTCATGGGTAAAAATTAAAAGCATGCCAAGATAAAACGCTGCCTGGTGAATACTCTTCAAGCAAAATATAAGCTCGATAGTCATCTCCTTGAACACAGGCTTTTTACCCTTCTAGCACTGTGCTGAGCACTTAGTACATATAGGAGTGAGCAACTGATCAGCTGAGAAAGTTCTGAGATGAGCTGTCATTTCATTTCTTGAGCAGCAATTGTCTTTTTTATTACTTGTGCAAGTCCAGAGAGAGGTGGGGGGGCGGTACCGGTCTACCTGCTTATCCATGTCAGTGCTCCAGTTCACAGGTTGGGGTCACTGATCTGTTCCTGCCTTTCCAAGCTGAGAGGTCAAATCCTTAGCCATAGAGCTCTTTTTGCTGAGGCGTAATTACTGTAAAGGGTGCATTTGGCTTTGCTGGGCCCTGGCTGTGTTTTATGAATATTGGACATTTCTCACTTCAGAGCCAGTGCCTGGCTGAGGACAGTGATGCATTTAAAGCTAAACAATGCTAGGTCCATGGTAGGGCCCAAGCACAGCTGCACAGTCATGCTGGAGCTGTGACAGGGGATTTCAGCCTTCCAGAAGTCCTATGATTTGCTGAATGTGCCTGTGGGAGAGGGCTACTTCCATGCAAAGACCTCAAGGGAGACCCAGAACAGCGGGGAAAGATTTCTGTTGATGCTGGTGCAAAGTTGGGCTCTACTGTGGGCCTCTTTTTTTGTACCTCACAGATATGGGTCTGATGCTGTCTGTGCCCCCAGCCTGGTGCAATAAACTCAGAAGACAGCCTGTTCTAAAGACAGCCCCTGTCAAAGAAGCATAGTTCTGTCGTTACTGCTGATCATCCTTACTCCTCCAATGCTAATATAGCAGAAGTAATTAAAAGAATAGCATATACAGTAATAAAAAGAACCATAGGGAAATGACAATGGGTTTCATATACTTTACAAATATTATTTTATCTAAACTTAGCACAATCTTTCTAGGAAGGTATTATTTAACCCATTTCACAGATGTGGGCCTTGAAATTTAGCACAGAGAACTAAGTTGCTTCTAAGGACCAGATGTACTTAAAACATTCCTCTTTGGCCCCTAAGTCATTATCTTTTATACAACATGACATATTTGCACATTTCTTTACAATTTATAAACTAAATTCACTTCTGCTAACTCATTTGACTTTTAAAACAACCCCATAACCTCGTTTTTCTTATGATCTTTATATATTAGTTAATGTCTCAAATTTATATTTCTGGAAAGTGGCAGAACATTAAAAGTCAGATATCTAGGTATCGCTTACATTTGAAAACAAAATGAATGGAGTTTTGAATACATTGATGTTGTAATGACCTGTGATTCCAAGAATACCTGCATTGTGCCTGGATCACATCCACTGCTCCTCATGGGTTCCCCAGGGAGACATGCTTTCAGGGAGTTAGGGAAAACAGAAGTGAACAGCACATTATTATTAGCTGAGATTTGGCGTAAAAGCCAAATGCAGAGAATTCTGACCATCTGAACTGTGTAGAGCACTTGTTATTAGGTAACTGGGCCTCAGCCTAAAGCAGGCCATGAGGCCAGCTGCTCTGGTTCATTACCAAACTCAGCATGCATCTTGGATCTTACCCCAATGTGGTCCTTTGAATGGAAGGACCAGCAAAATGGAATCAAAGAACTACAACCAGCCTCTGATTTTTAATGCATGTTGACCTGCAATTATTAGTTTAGCTTTGACCAGGATGGGAAAGGCAACAGAGGAAAAATGTGGGGAAATTAAATTTCTTTGTATTTATTCATATCTGGCATTGGAGGGCAAACTCCCATGTTGCCTCTTCCTTCTTCAGATTCCTAAGAAAGACTGTTGGATCTGGACCTTTACCTGCCTTTCTCTCCAAATTAGTCTCTTTGTAATTTGTCAGATGACCAGGACACTTCACTTGTTGCCTGCTCATCTACTGGATTCTTGTCAAACCTTTCAGAATGCCAGAGATCTATTATTTTCCCCATGCTTGGCTGTTGATCCTTCTGCTTCTTTGAGGGCCATGGTTCTCTGTCTGTTATTAATAAGTGATGCAAAAGATCTATTCATCCATCCACTCATTTAGCCTCAAGGTTAAAAAAAACCATAAAGTTGAGTATCTTTCCAGTGTCTGATTTTGCTAGTATAAGAGCAACATCTGAATATTGATGGAATCAAATAAGAACATTTATAGGGAAAACAGCTGTGGGTGGAATTAATCCAATACTGAGATCAAGGATAAATATTGGAGCAGTGATGGGGAGTTATTATATAATTTGCATGAGTGACCACCATATTTCAACTTAGACCAGACTCCAGCACCATCCATATATCTGTGTTTATGCCAAATGCAAACAAAGTTATTGGTGGTCAGGTTCTGCTATAATTTAGCTCTGCTAAGTTAGACATGTGGAAAATGAATATCTAAACAGGACATTAAGCAGGTACTGGCTATTCAGTGAGTATTAATGAGGAGCAGATGATTTCTGGGATGGGAGTCAGGCTATCTGGATTTTCAGCTTGGACTTGCCACTAACCAACCTTATAAGCTGGGGCTAACTCCTCTTTCTGGGTGTCAGTTTTTTCATAGTAAGATGAGAGGAGGGCAGCTCTTAAATGCTGTGGATTGAGAATTTCATGGCAGTGGGGTTATTTGCAAGAGGAAGAGCAGCAGATTGTCTGAGAACCCCTTGTTCTCTTCATCTCTGAAAGTCCAATTTCAACTCCTTTTTCAAGCTTTTGCTGAAATAGCATCTCCTCTGTGAAGACTGTCCTGATTACCCTGCTAAAGTGACTTCTGTCTTTCATCCAATGCATTTCAATTAGTGCAGTCTGTGCCATTTAATACCTTGTACTTTGTATTATTATTATTTGTGCTCATATCCTAGTCTTCTATTAAGCTTGTAGAAATCCTTAATAACATTTGATATTGTTTGGTTGTGTGTCTTCACCCAAATCTCATCTTGAATTGTACTCTCATAATTCCCACGTGTTGTGGGAGGGACCCAGTAGGAGATAATTTGAATCATGGGGGCCCGTTTCCCCTATACTGTTCTCATGGTAGTGAACAAGTCTTATGAAACCTGATGGTTTTATCAAGGGTTTCTACTTTTGCATCTTCCTCATTTTATCTTGCTGCCACCATGTAAGAAGTGCCTTTCACCTCCCGCCATGACTCTGAGGCCTTATGTGAGTCTGTAAGTCCAATTAGACCTCTTTTTCTTCCCAGTCTCTGGTATGTCTTTATCAGCAGCATGAAAATGGACTAATACAGTAAATTGGTACCAGTAGAGTGGGGCATTGCTGAAAAGATGCCCAAAAACGTGGAAGTGACTTTGGAACTGGGTAACAGGCAGAGGATGGAACAGTTTGGAGGGCTCAGAAGAAGACAGGAAAATGTGGAAAGTATGGAACTTCCTAGAGACTTGTTGATTGGCTTTGACAAAAATACTGATAATGATATGTACAATGAAATCCAGGCTGAGGTGGTCTCAGATGGAGATGAGGAACTTGTTGGGAATTGGAGCAAAGGTGACCCTTGTTATGTTTTAGCAAAGAGGCTGGCAGCATTTTGCCCCTGCCCTAGACATTTGCGGAATTTTGAAATTGAGAGAAATGATTTAGGGTATCTGGCGGAAGAAATTTCTAAGCAGCAAAGCATTCAAGATGTGACTTAGGTGCTGCTAAAGGCATTCAGTTTTAAAAGGGAAGCAGAGCATAAAGGTTTGGAAAATTTGCAGCCTGACAATGCAATAAAAAAGAAAATCCCATTTTCTGAGGAGAAATTCAAGCCAGCTGAAGATATTTGCATAAGTAATGAGGAGCCAAATACTAATCCACAAGACAGTGGGGAAAATGTCTCCAGGGCACATCAGAGACCTTTGTGGAAGTCTCTTCCATCACAGACCTGGAGGTCTAGGAGGAAAAAATAGTTTCATGAGCAGGACCCAGGATCCCTGTGCTGTGTGCAGTGTAGGGACTTGATGTGCTGCGTCCCAGCCACTCCAGCTGTGGCTGAAAGTGGCCAATATAGAGCTTGGGCTGTGGATTCAGAGGGTGCAAGCCCCAAGCCTTAGCTGTTCCCACATGGTGTTGAGCCTGTGGGTGCACAGAAGTCAAGAATTGGGGTTTTGGGATCTTCACTTAGATTTCAGAAGATGTATAGAAATGCCTGGATGCCCAGGAAGAAGATTGCTGCAGGGTCGGGGCCCTCATGGAGACCCTTTGCTAGGGCAGTGTGGAAGAGAAATGTGGGGACAGAGCCTCCACACAGAGTCCCTACTGGGGCACTGCCTAGTGGGGTTGTAAGAAGAGGGCCACCATCCTCCAAACCCCAGAATGGTAGATCCACCTACAGCTTGCCCTGTGCACCTGGAAAAGCCGCAGACACTCACCAGTTCATGAAGGCAGACAGGAGGGAGGCTGTACCCTGCAAAGCCACAGAGGAGGAGCTGCCCAAGACCATGGGAACCTATCTCTTGCATCAGTATGACCTATATGTGAGATCTGGAGTCAAAGGAGATCATTTCGGAGCTTTAAAATTTGACTGCCCTGCTGGATTTTGGACTTGCGTGGGTCCTGTAGCCCCTTTGTTTTGGCCAGTTTCTCCCATTTGGAACAACTGTATTTACCCAATACCAGTACCACCATTGTATCTATAAAGTAACTAGCTTGCTTTTGATTTTACAGGCTCATAGGTGGAAGGGAATTGCCTTGTCTCAGATGAGACTTTGGACTGTGGACATTTGGGTTAATGCTGAAATGAGTTAAGATTTTAAGGTACTTTTGGGAAGTCATGATTGGTTTTGAAATGTGAGGACATGAGATTTGGAGGGGCCAGGGGTGGAATGTGTGTCCTCACCCAAATCTTATCTTGAGTTGTACTCCCATAATTCCCACATGTTGTGGGAGGCATCCTGTGAGAGGTAATTTGAATCATGGGGGCCATCTCTCCCATACTGTTCTCATGGTAGTGAACAAGTCTCATGGTTTTATCAGGGGTTTCTGCATTTGCATCTTCCTCATTTTCTCTTGCTGCCACCGTGTAAGAAGTGCCTTTTGCCTCCCGCCATGATTCTAAGGCCTCCCCAGCAATGTGGAAATGTAAGTCCAATTAAACCTCTTTTTATTCTCAGTCTCAGATATGTCTTTATCAGCAGTGTGAAAACGGACTAAAACAACATTCTATATCTCTCTTAGTCCCTAGCACAGTGGTTGGCACACAGTGAATATTTGTTTAGTGCTTTGTGGTAAAATAATTAGGTCAATCTGTGTGTGTCTGGCTGACTGAATAAATGAATGAATATACACATGAATGAATGAACGATGTATGAGGAATATAGAAATAGACAGATATGTGTCTCTAAACCTAATATTTTTCAACGTAATATATCTTTGTTTGAAGCATGATGCTAAATATATATATATGGTCTTACTGAATTTCACAACAATCAAGTTAAGTAGGTATTATTCCCCTTTCAGAAAAACTAAGCAATATACTTCCAAAGGTTTGGAACCCCAATGTGTCTGACTACAGAACCCACATTCTTAGCAACTGGACTACATGCCTGGAATCTTCAGCTGATGAGGCACAGAGCAAGGATGCAGCCATACATCAACTATTAGAGAATAATTGGATGAGTCTTCTCTTCAGTATTTGTCATATGTGTCTATTTTCCTTTTGGAGACTCAGAAAACATGACAATCTCATTTTCAAACAATGTTCAAGCAACTTGTGGCTGTTCCATCTCAGCTCACAGAAGAGTTTCAGGCTTATTGGCCAACAACTCATTATATTGGTTCAATGTCAACTATGGTGTTCATTTTTGTTGCATTTTAGACTGACTTCTATGCAATTATGCATAGTCTTATTGCTATTTATTTGAGAGTTCTAGAAATATTCTCTGATTTTAGTGAGATATTGGTTTAAGAGATTCATTGTAGTGAGACCTACATTAACACAACTTGAAAATGTTTTCCTTATGGTCCCTGAATTGTAGGGCTAAGTCATATTCCTGATGGTTAAGATTGTTTTGGATGCTAACTGTTAATGTCAAAACCAAGTTAGCGATGTAAAATAACAAGCCAAGAAAATCTGTGATTCAACATTGCCTTCATACTTTGCAGTTAGGATGAACGTCTGGGGCAGTAATGGTGAATAACATCATTTATTTTATTTTTAAATTAAAATTAAGATTAAGTTAAAACATTTAATAGACTTTATTATTTTAGAGCAATTGTAGGTTCTCAACAAAATTTAGCAGAAAGGAGAGACAATTCTCATATACCCCTTTTCCCCACACAAGCACAGCTTCCTCCACTGTCAACATCCTGCACCATAGTGGTACATGTCTTGCAACTGATAAACCTGTGATACATCATTATCACCCAAAGTTTATACTTTACGTTGGAGTTCGTTCTTGGAGTTGTACGTTCTATGAGCTTGGACAAATGTATAATGATATGTTTCTACCATTATAGTATCATGCAGAATAGTTTTACTGCAATGAAAGTCCTCTATTCTTTACCTATTCATACCTTCCTCCTCCCACAACCTTGCAAGTATCTCTATAGTTTTGCCTTTTCCAGAATGTCATACGGTTGGAATTGTACAGTATGTTACCTTTTCAGCTTGACTTCTTTTACTTAGCAATGTGCATGTAAGATTTCTCGATATTGTCTCATGTCTTGACACCTCCTCCCTCCCTCCCTCCTTCCCTCACTCCCTCCTTCCTCCTTCCCTCCCTCCCTCCTTCCTTCCCTTCCTTCCTTCCTTTCCTCTTTCCTTTCTTCCCTTCTTCCTTGACAGAGTCTCATTTTGTCACTCTATTGCCCAGGCTGGAGTGCAGTGGTGTAATATTGGCTCACTGCAGCCTTGAATTCCTAGACTCAAGCAATCCTCCCACCTCAGCCTCCCAAGTAGCTGTGACTACAGGTGCACACCACCATGCCTGGATAATTTTGTTTATGTTTGGTAGAAACCAGGTATCAGTATGTTGCCCAGGCAGGTCTTGAACTCCTGGGCTCAAGCAATCCTCCCACCTTGGTACCCCAAAGACCTGATTATAGGCATGAGCCACCTCGCCTGGCCCTCATTTCTTTGTATTGCTAAATAATATTCCAGAGTCTGGATGTGCCACAGTTTATTTATTCATTTATCTACTGAAGGGCATTTTGGATGCTGTCAATTTTTGGCAATTATAAATCAAGATTCTATAAACACCCATATGCAGGTTGTTTTTTTTGTGGACATAGGTTCTCAATTCATTTGGATAGAAACTACAGAGTGCAATTGCTGGATTATATGGTAAGATTATGTTTGGTTTTGTCAGAAACTGCCAAACTGTCTTCCAAAGTGGCTGTACCATTTTGCATTCCCACCAGCAACGAATGAGAGTTTCTAATGCTCTACATCTTCACCAGTATGTGGTAGTGTCAGTTTTCTGAATTTTGACCATTCCAATAGGGATGTGATGGTATCTCATTGTTTGATTTGTATTTCATAATATGGAGCATCTTTTCATAGACTTACTTTCCATTTGTATATCTTCTTTGGTGAGGTGTCTCTTCAGGTCTTTTGCCCCCATTTTTTTAAGTTAAGTTGTTCATCTTTTTGTTGAGTTTTAAGAATTATTTGTATATTTTGGATAATAGCTAATCAGCTATGTCTTTTGCAAATGCTTTCTCTCAGTTTGTGGCTTGCCTCCTTATTTTCTTGACAGTGTCTTCTGCCAAGTAGAAATTTTAAATTTCAATAAAGTCCAGTTTATCAGTTACTTCTTTCACGGATTGTGTCCTTAATGTTGTAGCTAAAATGTCATTGCCATACTCAGGTCATCTAGATTTTATACTGTTACCTTCTAAAAGTTTTATAGTTTTCTGTTTTACATTTAAGCCTACAATCCATTTGGGGTTAATTTTTATAAATAGTATAAGGCCTGTGTCTGGTTTCACTCTTTAGCATGTGAATGTCTAGTTGTTGCAGCACCATTTCTCAAGAAGACTATCTTTTCTCCATTACGTTGTCTTTGCTCCTTTGCCAAAGATCAATTGACTATATTCATGTGGATTTATTTCTGGACTCTTTATTCAATTATATTGAAGTATTTATTCTTCCATTAATACCATACTGTCTAGATTACTGTACCCCCTCAAAGTTGGGGGTATCAATCCTTTCACTTTCTCTTTCTGCTTTAATATTGTGTTGGCTATTTTGAGTCTCTTGTTCTCTATATAACTGTAGATGCTTTGTCAATATCCACAAAATAACTTGCTGAGACTTTGATTGAGAATGCATTGAATTTATTGATAAAATTGAGAAATGACATCTTGATGATATTGAATCTTCCAATCCACGAACATGAAATAGCTTTTCATTTTTGTAGTTCTTCTCTGGTTTCTTTCATCAGAGTTTTGGAATTTTTCTTACATATGAGAAAAATAGATCTTGTATATGTTATGTTAGGGTTAAATCTAAGTATTTCATTTTTGGAGGTGCTAAAGTAAATGGCATTATGTTTTTAATTTTAAATTCTACTTGTTCATTGTTGGTATATAGGAAAATGATTTACTTTTGCATATTAACCTTATATCATGAAACATTGCTATAATTACTTATTAGTTCCAGAAATTATTTTTGTTGATTATTTCAGATTTTCCACCTAGATTTTTATGTCATCTATGAATAAAGACAATCTTACTTCTTCCTTTCCTGCCTGTATACCTTTTTCCTCCTTTTCTTGTCTTATTGCATTAGTTAGGGCTTCCAGTATGATGTTAAAAAGGAATGGTGAGAGGGTACATTCTTGTCTTATTACTGATCTTATTGGGAAAGCTTCTAGTTTCTCACCATTAAAGATAATGATAGCCGAAGGTTTATTGTAGATATTCTTTATTGAATTGAGAAAGCTCTCATCTATTTCTAGTTAGTCAATCATTTTCATCCTAAATGGATGTTGGATTTTGTCAAATGCCTTTTATTGCATCTATTGCTATAGTTATGTAATTTTTCTTCTTTAGCCCATTGAAGTGATAGATTACATTAATAAATTTTCAAATGTTGAATCAATCTTGCATACCATAAGACAAATCTTACTTGGCCATCATTTATAATTCTTTTTCTACACTGTTGGATTCTGTTTGCTAATATTTTATTGAGGATTTTTTTCATTTCACCACTTATTCTTGTTGCATCAATTATCCCATGATTCAGATTAAGTCAAAATACTTTCTATTGTTGAATCCAATAAAAATATCATAAATATAGTATTCTTGTATAGACAACACAATATGATAAAAAAGAAAGTGAATATTTATTGGTTATTCATACTAACTATATTACTTAATTCTCACAAGTAATGTAGAAGTATTATATATTTTTCAGATTAGAAAATAATTCTCCCTTCATTTAATCATCAATGCATTTTATCTGTACACAGAATACATTGTAGAAAATAATTAGATTCAGCTTCAGTACCTATCCAGGAAGTAGCAAAGCCAATACCTCAACTTGGGTCTACCTGATTACAAAGTTTATGTTCTTTCTACTATAGCATATGGAGGCCAGTTTATTTTAAACTGATATGTACTATCATCTTTGGAAGTGATGCTGAAGTGGGAGAAAGTCACACGAATTTATAATTCTTCAAACAGTAGATGTAAGGCTCTGCCTGAGCTTAATCCTTCTGAAGGCTTCAGGCCATCTGTTGTAGCCTCAGGGCTTCCTAAAAGAAGGATGCATGAGAACAGGGTTTTCCCACCCCAGCTGACTCCCCAATCTAGAGTCAAGGACTTAAAATCTGACAGTCATTGGTCCAGTCATTCAGTCACAAATATAACCTCCCATGTGGCATCAATAATACCTCTTTTCTTTCAACTGGACTCTGGGGAGTGTCTAACTGTTTCAAGGATGAACCATGGACAACCAATGAGTCTCCATCCTGTAGGTGGCCGTGGGCCATGTCCATAGGCAAATTGTCTGCCTTGGAACACTTCTGTAGTTGTAAACAGATGCTCAGCCCACAGTGGGGTTATGGGCACGATATCGGCTCACTGCAATCTCTGCTTCCCGGGTTAAAGCAATTCTCATGCCTCAGCCTTCTGAGTAGCTGGGATTACAGGCATGTGCCACCACACCTGGCTAATTTTTGTATTTTTAGTAGAGATGGAGTTTCGCTATGTTGTCCAGGCTGGTCTGAAACTCCTGACCTCAAGTGATCCGCCTGCCTCTGCCTCCGAAAGTGCTGAGATTACAAGTGTGAATCACCACACCCAGCCCCATCCAAGTTTTTGTCAATCCCTCTTTTCTTGGCTTGGGTCCCATTTCATCCCCTTGGCCACTACTCAGAGCCTTATTGCATATGTATTGATTTCCTAGTACAATGGGCAACAACAATCTAACTCTGGAGCATCTGCTCAAAGTCCAGACTTCCTGCTGCTATTTTCAGCTTACCTGAGCAAGGGCATAATGGAGATTGTGACCATCTCTCCTCCCACATGCCTACTGTCACCTGAGCATCCTGGCTGTCCTTTCCAGGACTGATACCTGGAATAGGTAATTCTCGTGTTCTCAGTGTCTCTGTAGCCCTATTTTTGCATCAAGGCTATGGCAGGATGTTACAAATGTCTAACGCAGGATGCACTGTGAAGTCCAGTTTGTCATATGACTTCTTTTCAGAACTGTGAAGAACCAGCCTTGGCTGAGCTGTCCTGACCAAGAGGGCAGTCAGTATTATGACAACTTCCCTATTAATACTTTCCAACTTGGGCTGTTTCAGGCTTGGGGAGATTGGGAATTCTGATTAGCTCAAATGCATTGTATTTAAATGATTGCATAAACAGATGTGATCGATGATGACTACTCATTAATCTCACAGAGCGGCTAGACCAGTGCAAACTCAACAGCATCTCAATTCCACTGCCAAATTAGTCCAGGCTGATCCTAAGGCTAGACAGTCCTTTGTTATGAGTAACTCATGCAGCTGTACAAACATGCCTCAGGTCTATTTGTTTCTTTAATCCAATTGAATTCCACTAGGACATCTTTTCATTCTCTTACTGCTATGATTTATGGCTGTAATGATAAGCCTTCTGTAATCCTAAAGCTTAAAGAACTTCAGCACCCTGGCCTGGGGAAGTCATCAGGTTTAGTGGAAACAGAATTGGTCTTAGCATCAGACACTCTACCTCAAAGTCATGTGGCAGCAGATCATAAAGTTGGTCTGTTCCTTCTCTTTCCCTCCACCTCTCTCTACAGTCTCTTTGGCAAATTGATGAACATATATGCTATTGAATTAAAGCTAATTTTAGTCCCAAAGCCATTAAAAAATAAGCTCCTGGGGGAATTTAAAGTAATTTCATTTCAGCTGATTAAGATATTTAGATATGATGCATCACATTTTATGCTCGAAAACACTGTCAAAGTCAAAAGCACACTAAGTATAGTGTGTCGTATGAGCTAACATAGTGGTAGTGGTATCTATTAAAATTTTTGACAACTCAGAGAGAAATTCCTTAAAAGCTTTCCTGATTTCTTAGTCATAAGAGAAAAGTTCAGAGTATCTAGACACCTGTAAGATGGATTCCTAACCATCAAAGATCTGTTTGCAAATTAATATTTTTACAGTTTGCTCTTACCTTAGATGTAGCCTTGTTTCTGAGCCTGTTTTTATTCCCATTTTGATTTTAGTCTTATTTAATGATTTCTAAT
The DNA here is from genome assembly GCF_000001405.40 of Homo sapiens. Classification (NCBI taxonomy): domain Eukaryota; kingdom Metazoa; phylum Chordata; class Mammalia; order Primates; family Hominidae; genus Homo; species Homo sapiens. The sequence goes on from NC_000002.12 coordinate 18,211,139, forward strand.
CGCTATGTCTCAAGAATCATTTAGCCATATACACAGAGTTAATTACCAGCAAATCCCATGTGACAGGTAGTAAAGAGGCCCTTAAGAAAATATCTTATTAGTCTTTTATATAAAAATAATGTCATGTCCAGAAATACATAGGCACTTTACAAATTGCCACTGGCTGCTCTTTACATACATACCAAGCCTATAAATAGAAGACCAGATTAATATTGTTATCCTCAGTGTACACACAGCCTTCTACACAATACACAAACATTCTTTAAGTACTTACTATGTGCTAAACATTTCACTGGTGCTGGACATGAACCATTTCATTTAATTCTGATAATAGTCCTGATAATCGGTTCTGAGATTACTTCTCTTTTAGAGATGAGAAAACAGAGGCTTCAAAGGTCTTAAATGACTTTTCTGAGATAACGTATCTAGGGATTTTTGGAACTGGGATTTGAATCAAATTAGTGTAATTATAGGGCTCTGACATGTAACCATCATATGACCCTACGTATGGAAGTACAATGTACAAATTTTATATAAAAGAGTATCGTGCAGCGTTCTCTGGGATCAAGAGGAGGCATTACCTGCCTTTGGTTTACTTAAGTACCACTTATGTGACAGCCCTGTTTCATGAATGCTGGCCATGAATATAAGGAGGAATGTTCCAACTGGGAGCCACCCTGGGTGGCACTGGGTTAAATTAAAGGGTATTTTTAGAGCCCCCAACTCCTCACCCTAAAACACTTTCTCCCTTACTGGAGACCTCTTTCTACCTGTCCCCCTTAAGACAGTGTTCTTGTCACTACAATGTAGTACAAGGAACAGGGAATTTGCTGTCAGAAAGATACAAGTTCAAATCTCTGGTCTATGATTTGCAAATTTTATGATTTTGAGCATATAACTTCAAACCTGAATTTAATTTTACTGTTATACAAACAATAAATTATACAAATGGGGATTTATACAAATGAGTATATTACTGTTGACTTCAGAAGCATATTTTGAGAATAAAAGACTAAAAGGGAAGAAAATGGGTGAAATATGACCTATGAAGCTCAACACCTGCAGTGCAGTGTGTGCTCAGCCAGTGCAGTGTCTCCTTTGTTCGCAGGAAGGTTTTTACATCACTCTTTGTAGTTTGGTACAATCACACTCCAAATTAGATTTTCTTTCTCAAAAGGATAGCTAAACACCAAGCTCAACATTTCACTGGCTTCTTCTTTTAAAGGAAATTAAAATGTTAAATGTTTTAGTAAGGATGTGTTTTAGGGGTACATATTAGTGCTGCAAAATTCAACTCCAGGACAGGTAATTTTTCTTGGGATGTGTTGTTTCTAATCTGATAGTTATAAGCACTAACCAGAAAATGGATGAGAGAGTTGAGTCCAAAGAGATGTTCTAAAGAAAGTAAAACTAAGTTCTCTGCCATAAACTCTAAAATGTAATGAAAATGTGAGGATCCATGGGTTCTTTCAAACTCTAATGTGAAATTTCTATTTCCTTGGACTGCGATACCAAGGCATAGCTCTGCTCTGCAAAACTACACTGGAGTTACAGTATTTCCAAACGGCTCCTTCCCATCAGTAAGTAAGCAGTCTTGGTCATAATCAATATGTGCAATTAGAGAATCAGTGACTGGGCATCCCCTTCCTTAAGCTACTCACTATAATGCCATTCTCAGATGATTGCCAGGCAAAGAGAAAGCATTTTGATCATCATTCCAGTTAGTTGAATACATTTATTTAGTGTTAAATTCTTCTGCTTCACGACAAGACCCACCTCCACATCCCAAATAATTGCATCAGCTGCGACTACATAACTAACATCTTTTCGTTTCAGTTTCCTCCTGCTCATATCCTACCTTCTTTCTCTTCCTCCTCCTCCTCCTTTTTTTTTTTTTTTTTTTTTTTTGGAGACATTAAGGGTTCATGTGGTTAAAATTATTTTTTCTCTGTTCAGACTTCAAGTCTTTGGTGAGATTAAATAAACTATTTTTAAATAATGAAATTTTTAACTGCCTTAGTTTTCTAGGGTGCTAAATATGTTTTTGTTTTCAAAGTACTGTGTTCCTTTACTCTTTCATTGTATGGATGCTCGCTGAGCACTTTATAGGTGTCCTCGCTGAGCATCTTATAGGTGTCCTGGAATATAGACGCGTCTATCCTATGGTTCCTGCTCTGAAAGAGCTCGTAGGAAGTAAAGATATGACTAAAATTACTTAAAAAACAGAAAAAAAGTGATATAGGAAGATCAAAAGGGAATAAGGCACTGTTGATTGAACCTTGATTGTTTACTGAAAGTAGTGAAACCAAAATGCTTTGTGGTCAAAATACACAGGAAGGACGGATAATTAGGGATCATCCCTAATTAAAGCTGTTCAGCTTCTCTGGAACCCCAGGTACATAAAGAGAAGTGGTAGGAGATAAGGATAAGGAAAGGTAGCTTTATGCCGATGGACCTAAGGTGCTAGAGGAAATAAAGGATAAATGGATCGCCCCCACCCACTCATCCAGTGATCTTTCTTTCTTTTTCTTTCTTTTCCTTTCTTTTCTTTTCTTCCTTCCTTCCTTCCTTCTTTCCTTCCTTCCTTCTTTGTTTCGTGAGACAGAGTCTTACTCTGTCGCCCAGGCTGGAGTGCAGTGGCACGATCTCGGCTCACTGCAACCTCCACCTCCCGGGTTCAAGCAATTCTCCTGCCTCAGCCTCCCGAGTAGCTGGGGATTACAGGCGCCCACCACCATGCCCAGCTAATTTTTGTATTTTTAGTAGAGAGGAGGTTTCACCATATTGGTCAGGCTGGTCTCAAACTCCTGACCTCGGGAGATCCACCCGCCTCGGCCTCCCAAAGTGCTGGGATTACACACATGAGCCACCGTGTCTGGCCCAGCGATCTATTCTTCAAACTGATCTCTCTTTTCAGTGCTCCTTTTAACATGATCTGTTGCAGCAACCCTATAGTACTGCTCAGTGTCAAAAGATTGGGTTGGAGGAGGGAAAGATACCCGAAAGAGAAACAGGAGAAGGCATCAGCCGCTGTGAGAACCGCGATGATGCCAGATCTTGCCCTCTCACTCCTACGCGGTGCCCGCAGCCCCGGTGACCTGTTGTTGCAGTTTTTACCCAGTTTGCTAAAGAGGGGGCTATTTTGAGATAGAAAAAAGCTGTGATGAGGAAGAGGGGAACTATAGTGATCTTAGTACTTTTTCTGCAAAAAGCAACAAAAAGCCGATTTGATTATTATCAGAACACAAAATTTAAATTAATCTGAAGTCAAAGAGACTGGAAACATTTTTTGTCTTTTGAATAGTACCCTGCATTCATGGTAGAGCAAAACATCTCCCAGTTAAAAAGCTTTTTATTGATAGACTGGTTGTTCATATTGATTAAATATACCAAAGCCAAAATTTATGGGTAAAACTCAATGTTTTCTAGCAAAATCACCATTTTCATCAACTAGGGTATATTGAGGGTATTTATTTCTTTTAAATAATAATATGCAATGCTGAGGTCTGTGTAGGAAACACAATGAGCCCAATAAACTGAATTTGAGTTATTTAGCACAGTCAATAAAAAGCAGGTTTGAGAAATAGACTAATAGTAGATATATTTGCAAAAGGGAACAGTTTGTGTCAATGGCATGCCACAACTCATTTTTTATATTTATTAATGAAGAAAAGCATAATATCTCTATTTGTCAATATATTATTAATAGTTATTGAGAATCTGTGCATACCCATGAATAATCTGAACTTGCTCATTATTTAAAAAGTTGCTTGACTTATAATTTTTCAAAATTTAGACTGATTTTCCATTTATATTACTACTCAACACTGTTTTGTATTATGCCAGATATTTTAGAATGGAAGAAATAAAACTCATAAATAAATGTGCTTTCGTTGTTTACATAGATTAATAAGTTGGCTTGCCATATATAAATCCTCTGTTCTGGAAGGCTAACAGAAAGATGTTTCTTTTAGTAGTTAAGGAAATTAGTGGTTACATGACTCAATTCTTTGCATGGGAAAACAATTGAATGAGACTTCTTTCAGACATCAGTAATAGAGAAACATACTGGACTATCACATTATTTTTTAAAAGAGGAATCGAATAAACTATGGACTAACAATAAAATTTTCTTTGTGATTGAGAACAAAATCTTTACTATATAATCAACTAATGTTCATGTGACCTAGAAGAAGTCTGACTTAGAGTAAATATTTTATCAAGGTGAGGTGAAAATTTAACCTGAAAAAGTAGGTTTTGATTTTAGTTTGCATGTAAATAAATAGAAAAGATCTTCACTCTTGTGGTAATACTAAGAAAAAAAGAAAAGACAAAATAATAATTATGCTTTCTGTGAGACAACTGAGAATTAGCGGACAAGAGGAAACCTAAATGAATTGACTTTCACAGAGAGAAGCCCTTCAAAGGTGAGTAGTGGGCTGTGGCAGCTGCCTGGAGGCTGGAGGAACAAGAAGCCTGCCAGAGGCTTTGCCTGGCTGGAAGAGGCAAGCTGTACTGTGGGTGATGGTTGATGTACCCAAGATAGATTGAAACTGGAGTACCTCAAACACAATAATATTTTTGTGGCCTGAAATCTCTCCCTGCTCGCCTCTAAATTTTACTTTAGCAGGGCAGTGAAAGAGAAGCTGAGACACAGAAAGAATTCATGAAGTCTCGCATATTCTCATTGTGTCTGGAACTGGGACCTCCTATGTTAAATCCAAAGGTGGAATCTCAGCTCACCTCCTCCTGACTCAAACATGAATAATATCAAAGAGATTCAACACCCCAAACCCTCTCCCCTCCCCACCACACACACACACACACACACACACACACACACACACACACACAACTGTGCACTCGCAGTGGGACTGGGCTGAAAAGAGATGAGTTTAATCCTGTTAATGCTGAAATCCAGTTCCAGATCAAACTGACTTCTGGCAAAATCCAAATGACTACCTAATTGCTTCAGCTGCCAAAATAGGAAAGAGTTTGTATTCTTCGGGAGGAGATAAAAATGACCTAAAAGAAACAAATCAATGAAAATCCTCAAAACTTTAGTATTCTTCAGATGCCACTGTTTTTTAACACAGTGTCTGCTATAAAATTAAAAGGTTATGAGATGTAAGAAGAAACAAGGAGATGGGACCCGCAATTAGGAAAAGCCCTTCTGGTTTTAGCCTCCCAAGTAACCCTTCAGAGACACTTGCTGCCTCCAAATACTGAGCTCTCCCAGAACACCTCACTGGTTCTTGTTCTATGCTCTCTACTGGCACCTAAGTTTCTATTTGTGCCTCATGGTTGTGTTATTTACCCCACTCACTTGTATACTTCCTTCTTCGAATTAAAAAAAAAAAAGGAGTGGGAGGCGGGGCGGGCGCTGTGGCTCATGCCTGTAATCTCAGCACTTTGGGAGGCCGAGGCAGGCGGATCACCTGAGGTCAGGAGTTCAAGACCAGCCTGGCCAACATGGTAAAACCCCATCTCTACTAAAAATATATACAAAAAAAGTAGCCGGCCGTGGTGGTGGGCGCCTGTAATCCCAGCTACTCGGGAGGCTGAGACAGGAGAATTGCTTGAACCCAGGAGACAGAGGTTGCAGTAGGCTAACAGTGCCGTTGCACTCCAGCCTGGGCTATAGAGTGAGACTCCATCTCAAAACAAAACAAAAAATCTGGCCGGACGCGGTGGCTCCAGCCTGTAATCCCAGCACTTTAGGAGGCCGAGGTGGGTGGATCACCTGAGGTCAGAAGTTCAAGACCAGCCTGGCCAACAAGGCAAAACCCCATCTCTACTAAAAATACAAAAATTAGCCTGGCGTGGTGGCATACACCTGTAGTCCCAGCTACTTGGGAGGCTGAGGCAGAAGAATCGCTTGAACCCAGGAGGCAGAGGTTGCAGTAAGCCAAGATCACACCACTGCACTCCAGCCTGGGTGACAGGGTGAGACTCAGTCTCAACAAAAAAAAAAACTCTCATACAATGTTTATTTTTATTCATTTAATGCCATTTTCTCATTGCTTCAGGAGGAAGAAGAGGTAAATGCATATATATTCAATCTGCTGTGTATAAGCCCAAATTGTTATTTTGATGATGATAGCTAGATTGCCGCTGAACTCCACTCTGAGATTGTCTTTTTATTATTCTCTTTACACTTCGAATATATAAAAATTCATATATTTATATATGTAAATTAGTATATACAGCTGGCTCTTCATATCTGTGGGTTCTGTGTCTGCTGATTAAACCAACCACAGATTGAAAATATTTTTTAAAAAGAATGGTTGTGTCTGTACTGAACATGTGCAGATATTTTTTTCTTATCGTCATCCCCTAAATAACACAGGATAACAACTACACAGCATTTACATTGTATTAGATATTACAGGTAATCGAGAGATAATGTAAAGTACATGGGAGAATGTTCCTAGGTTATATGCAAATACCTAGCCATTTTATATAAGGGATTTGAACATCCACAGAGTTTGGTATTTGCAGAGGTAGAGGGAGACTCTTGGAACCTAATTCCCCATGGATACCAAGGGATGACTGTGTGTGTGTGTGTGTGTGTGTGTGTGTGTGTGCGTGTGTATTTATATATATATATGTATAATTCATAAAATGAATATAAAGTTCAAGATTACAGCCAGGTGTAAGATAACTTTGACATGGTCTTGTCTCTTAGATTTCCACAGTCATATTATGGTTTGTGGAGTCCTAATTTCCCTGATTCTCTCTCTCTCTAGGTCTCTGTCTCTCTATCTCTGTCTCTACCAGCATTTTTAGCTGTTTTCAATGGGAAAGTTTGTTTTTTTTTTTTCAGGGTCACTAATCTGCCACATTGCCAGAAATGATAGTTTCTAGGTTCTTCTTTACTAATAAAATTGACAACATGATAGCCGGGCAGTTGGGTTCACGTTTAAGTTCAATGATTCAACATAGTCAGGCCTAAGTCTCTTCTAAACCCTTGTAACCAAAACTAGGAATGTGGAAACCAAAGCCTGAGTCTTCATGTGGACAACAGCGTGTATTTCTTCCAGAAGACCCAGATGAAGGGAATTTTGAAGGGCTGCTGATATTGGAGCTAGGGCTTTGAGATCGGACAGATCTGGGATTGATTCCTGATTTCCCACTTTTGCTAATAGTGTGAATCTTCTCAGATTATTTAACCTCTCCTGAGCTTGTAACTTTATCTATAAAACAAGTATAATCATGCCTACCTCGTTGTTTCTATGAGGATTACTCACAACTGAAAACAATATTTATCACTATGTCTAGCACAAAGTAGTTACTCCAATGGCAACTATTAGAAAAATAATTTTTCATACTGTCATTCTGTGATTTGGGATGTCTCCGAGTATATATGTGAGGGGCAAGGCCGTGTAATGAATGCCCATACTTTCTTGCTTAAGAGGGAATATTCTGAATCTATATTTTGAGATTAGATTTATGGGCTTAGGTAGAAGTGATCCTTTACCAATTCTCAGCTTCCCATGAAACATTAGGGAGGCAATTTGTGCAATGTTTTGTCGTGATCAATCTTTAGACCTTCTGAGCTCAAATTGCACCGATTGATGGACATCAATCTGATGACCTCATCACCTGGTTATGATGTCTTGAACAGGTATGACAATCATCAGCAGATTTTGCTGGGTATCTGAAGTTGAAAAAGAATGTTTCCTTACCTCTTTTGTGAAAAAATGACTGGAAATGAATATACTTGCTACCTATGGCATAGTTATTATCTTTAAAACCTGAGCTGCAGTGATGTAGATATATTATTTAGAGGTACAATGACTTCTTTTATATCAAATACCCTGAAATGATTCTCCAAGGGTATTTCAATGTGGCCTGTCTACATCAAAATGACTGAGGAAATAAAGTGTTGCACCAGTATTTCATTGCAGCAAATCTTCAATCTTGTTGTCATGCCTTTCAGAGGAAAATAAGTTCTGGATTAAACATAAACAAGTGGATTGGATAATGCTTCTATTAGGAAATCATTTCTTATTCCTTATTTTAAATAAAACTATTTTTTTTAACAAATCAAAGGAATTTTCAGGTAGAACAGTTGTATTTTATGAAACTCAGAGTAAGGCAATAACCCATTCCTGTGCTGCTTAAAGAGTGATTGGAAACACTTAAAATACAATTATAATTTGATCTTTGAAGTGAAAACATCGTGTGCATTGATCTGTTGATAGTTTCCTTTTCTTTGTTATTTTATTGAGTTAACAGAATTCCCCTCAGTCTTCCTCCTAGCAGTATTATTACTGAGCACCTAGTGCATGCCAAATGCTGGAGACAGGAATGAAAGAGACTTTGTCTCTTTCCTAAAGAAGGTTACTGGGAAGAACAAGGAGCCTAATGAGCAAATCAAAACTGGAAGATACTAAATGTAGAGAAGGAAGATGTTTACTGTTTTAGGAGGTTGGTGTCCTTTGAAGCTAAACTGAAGCAATTACTGTGAAAAGGTAAGGGGAATGTTGTTTGGTTGGTGCAAATGTAATTGCATTTTTTTTTGCCATTAACCACAATTACATTTGCTCCAACCTGAAAATTCAAGAAAAAGGAATGGCAGGCATAGAAAGAGGTACAAGAGATCTTTGTGAATTTAGGAAATAAGACATCATAACTTAATGTGATTAGAATTAAGGGGAGATACAGCTCAAAGACAATTTGATAGTGGACACCCCTAAATGACAAGCTTAGCATGTCTTTCATCTCCCATGCCACTAGGAGCCAGCAGTAACATGATATGATCAGATTTGTGTTTTGGAAAGATTCTTATAGCAGTGTAGGAGAATTTGGGAGGATTTTCAAGGAATTTAAGTTAGATTTAAACTACAAAGCACGGCACAGATATTAGTTATAAATACTACCATCAATGTTTTGGGGATGAGAGAGACTAAAGGTGGAGAACTTCTGACTCCTTTCTTTGGCAAAGACTGGGGCTTACTGGTAGGTCCTACAGAGATGGATGGCGGCCACACAGGGCCTGTTACCCAGTAAAGCTCATGGTGCTAGAGGAAGATTCTCAGGTCATGTCCAAGTGTGATTCCTGAGCTGATTCTGTGTAATATGCTGTAGATGGGTGGTCGAAACTGGAAGCATTCCACATGTAAACTGGGAGACAAAACTTGGACCAACACATGTCAGTGAGTAAATCACAGAGATTAGTGCAAAAAATGTCAGCAGAACTGGCAGAAACAAGAAGTATGGACAAATTCCAGAGTGGAGAGGCTGATGAAGGATTGTTATTATTATTGTATATTTTTTGTTCCAGAATCTATTTCTCGAGCAGGTTTATTCAAATGGGCCAGGTCCAAATAAGCAGAACAGATGAGAGATGATGAGGGCACGAACCACCAGCGACACCATGGAGGATAGGGAGAAAAGAAGAAATTCCAGAGATATGAAGGAGACTTCATGGCTGATTAGACTTGATGGCTGATTAAGGCAAACTTAAGATCCTTTTTTTGTTTTTTGTTTTTGCCTGAACAACTTGGGCAAACAGATGTAGGACTAGATTTAGGAAGCAAGTAATAATTTCAGCTTGGGAGATTCTGAAGATCTAAAAGAAATGGTCAAGGTAGGAAGTCAGCGTGTAGGGTTGGATGTTAGGGGAAAGTTTAATGCTAAGCATATAAATGAGAGAAGAATGTCAAATACCCTGCAACAGTAGTCTGTGTTACCTCCATCTGTATCAATAATGCACTAGGCCCCCCAGCTCTGCTAGGTTGTGATCTAATGGACCCATTTGTAGGGCTAAAGAAAAGGGGGATGGAATGCAGACAAAATGGGGGTAAAAGCCTGGGCAGTCACCTGCAGGTGTGTACACAATTACACATCAGAGATGCTATTTTGGGAGAAACAGACATATGTAATCCAGGTGAAACAGGGTCCTGGTAGTGTTTCTTACTGTCTGTGAGAAATTGGAGAAGTTGTTCTTTTGATTCCCCTGTGCTTGAAGAAGGTTCTGCTGTCAATGGTTCCACCTAGTACTGTACAGGAGAGGACCCTTGGAGTACAGAGGTTGCCACTCAGATATCTCATTTAGGCCCAAAACATATTGAAATACAATGAAGGTTGAAGCACTTGTTTCACTGAGCTTTTCCAGAGCAATTGAAGCAAACTGGAAACTAAGACTTAAACTTTGTTCTAGTAGGGAAGGGCTCACTCTTCCAGGTCTTTAGTGGGTGTCTCAAGTAGGATTCCAGATCTCTTTCTCACTTTTAACTTCTTCATCTTCCTTGTGCAGTACCTCAGCCATTCTTCAGAGTCTGTCCCCATTCCCATACTGAAAAACATCCCATCAGAGGGCTTGTGAATGTAAGTCATCTGATGTCAATCGACATGTAAATAGTAGCTTTCTCCTGCCTAGATTTGGCAGGCAAAGTCTTTAATTCTGTTGCCTCACCTGGGGAAGGTAACAGGGATTTCAGATCACATCTAGTCTCTCCACTCTGGAGATTTGAGGCTGGTTTCCTCTTGCCATGACTAAAAGCAACATATTTTATCTGGAGGAACATTTATGTTCTCTTGTAGGCAATAGTCTTGTTACAAATGAGGATGCTGTATATTTGTTCTCAATATAATTTTGACCATGAGCATGGCATTAATTGTACAAAGGGGCACGTCACTCCTTCTGACCCTGTCACAATGGAGGGACCAGCACATTAGATGATAGTGGCTCTGTTTTTAGCCACCAAGATGGTAGCACTTGCTCCTGGCACATTTTTTTCTGATCTCCCATTTCTTTTCTGAGAGGAGGGATGAAGTGGCCCTCTGTTTATAATATCACCTTTGTATCACCAAGAACTTGTTTTGGGAGTATCTGCTACTGTATTTGTCTATGATTTTTCTCCTCTCCTCTTGAGCTGGTGGCTTGGAAGGAGTTGTGTCTTCCCAAAGTTCAGAGTAGCACACTTTCCTTTATCAGAAGAGTGGGGATTAATGGTACTGTTAGCAGAAACTCTCTGTTAAAAAGTAGTACATGGCATGTATTAAAAACATCAAGTCTAATTCGTAAGTTTTTAAAAATATGTTTTTAAGTACCTTTTCTCACTAAATATAACCAGGAGTCCTTGGAAAAATGGCTTATTCCAAGGCAGAGAGAACAGAATATGAATAAGGAACATTTCATGCCAGAGGGTAATGAAGAGTTCAAAAAGGAATGAAGAAATGTCAGAAAAAATCAAAAGCCAACTTCAAGATGCCTCTTCTGGCCAAATCTGAGACAATTTGAGCATCAAAATTGATAATAACAATGGACTATAATCTATTGCAAAGGATCCATGAGTCTATATTGAAATAAAAAATGAGTATAAAAATGAATGAGAGAAAAAAAAACTCTCTTACCATGAGCCTCTGTGGTCCTAATAAAATACTATTACATGTGGATACAATGATGGAGATTTAAAAATCATTATTTTGCAAGCATAATAATTGATTTGGGCAAGATTCATTAATTAACACTAAAACTGTAGGTGACCATTTGGTAAGGAGCAGAATATATAGTCTAAAAGTGTCTCTTAAATTTACTATTAATTATAAAGGGAAAATAGTGACTTTAGAGTGGGGAAGCCTGGTGGACACTTCCTTAGGCAAGTGTTCAAAGTTACCGTCACCACTAATGGGACAAACCTGCATGCTATATCTCCTAATATGATGCACTGAGAATCTATAAAATAACTACTTTCACTGTCAGGGTTTGAAGAGCTTGGGGGAATGAGTAGGGTTTTTGCGATGCCTTTTTTTTTAAACAATCTAAAGTGACTGATCTTCAACCAGCACTATCTGTGCCCTTCTCTCTTTCAGGAAGTCCCTTAGCCACAAATGCCCTTCCTTCCTCATTGAGACTATCTGTAACTCATCTTTAAGACCCTAGTCAACTTTGTGTCTTCCAAACTTTTCAGGATTTTTCAGTTTGTAGGCTGGAAATGATTTTCCCTATGTTGGATTACTAACACATGTCTAAGTCCTCTTTTGAGGTACTATTTCCTACTTATAATTTGTCTACTTGTGCACGATTATTTTCCTTACTAGACTATAAGTTCCTTGAAGAGCGGTATCATGTCCCATTTATCTTTGTATTATCAAGTGCATCTTACACATAGGAGGAGTTTCATAAATGTTTGCTGAGTGAATGTAAGAAGGACCATCTTGTTAACATTTATGATCATAAACAGCTTTGAGGTTAGTGATTGGGTAAGTGTCTGAAAAGAACATCAGTGTTTTGGATTAGTCTCGAGTTGTGATGTTAAATATGCTATCCATTAGCTATGTATCACTATTTAATTTTAAATTGAGATAAAATAAAAAAATCAGTTCTACAATATCACTAATCCACAGTTGAAGTGCTTAGCAGCCACATGTGCCTAGGCACTACCATACTGGAGACAGCAAGTAGCAAAACATTTCCATCATCACAGAGAGTTCTATTGTCAATGGATATTTGGATTGTTTCTGCTTCTTGGTCATTACAAATAATGCTACAATGGATATTTGAATAGAATGTCTTTTTGTGGGCATTTGTTTTTATTTCTCTTGGGTATATAGCTAAGAGTGGAACTCCTGAATTATATGATAAATCTGTGTTTAGTATTTTAAGAAACAGACAAACCATTTTCTTTCTTTTTTTTTTTTTTTTTTGAGACAGAGTCTTGCTCTGTTGCTCAGGCTGGAGTGCAGTGGCACAATCTCAGCTCACTGCAAGCTCTGCCTCTTGCGTTCATGCCATTCTCCTGCCTCAGCCTCCCAAGTAGCTGGGACTACAGGCGCCCACCACCACGCCCGGCTAATTTTTTGTATTTTTAGTAGAGACAGGGTTTCACCGTGTTAGCCAGGATGGTCTTGATCTCCTGACCTTGTGATCCGTCTGCCTAGGCCTCCCAAAGTGCTGGGATTACAGGCGTGAGCCACCGCGCCCAGCCCCTACAAACCATTTTCTAAAGTGGCTGCACCATTTACATGTCTATGAGTATTATATATTGTTCCAGTTTCTCCACATTCTCCCATATCTTTGCCAACACTTGTTATGGCCTGTGATTTTATTATCATACATATTTACTAATATGACATCTCATTGTTTTAATTTTCATTTCTCTAATAACTAATGATATTGAGCATATTTTATGTGCTTATTAGCTAATCATTTGTATATCTCCTTTAATGAAATGTATATTCAAATATTTTGCCAATTTTAAACTTAGGTCATTTGTCTTTTTAGTATTGGGTTATGAGAGATTTTTATATATTCTGGAACAAGTCCTTTATCAGATATATCATTTGCAAATATTTTCTTATACTCTGTGGCTTATATTTTCATTGTGATAATGTGTTTTGAATTTCAAAATCATTTATTTATTTATATATTTTTGCACATAAGAACTCAGCAGGTAATTTATTTGCTATTGTGATAGTACAAGTTTCCCAGAATTTTGCTTCTGTTTCAAACTCATCTGCTAATTTTTTTCTACATATTCAGTGAATTTTAGAAAAAGAACATTCATCTGCTTCCTGTTTAAGAGGAGGGTATAAAAAAGAAAGTTTCCCTATCCCTGTTTTTAATTAAAACATTTATGTTCTGTTTTGTGAATTTCAGAACAATATTTAAGATTCTGCTGACAGTTGAGAGAATATGTTCAGGCTTTGTTTATTGAGCTGGGAGAGAAAGAAGATTCCAGGGGTGGTTGAGGCTTTAGGAATAAAATGATTCATTTTTATGCAGTGTCAACTTTTACTCTGTTGTACAATGTAATTAATCTTTTTCTAAAACTTTTGTTTTAGGTTCAGGTTTATGTTATTTTATTTACATGTGCAAGTTTCTTACATAAGTAAATTGTGTGTCATGGGGGTTTGGTGTACAGATTATTTTATCACATAGGTAATAAGCATGGTACCCCATAGGTAGTTTTTCAGTCCTTTCCCTCCTCCCATCATCCACCTTCAAGTAGCCCTGGTGTTTATTGTTCTCTTCTTTGTGTCTTTGTGTATTTAATGTTTAGCTCCCACTTATACATGAGAACACGCAATATTTGGTTTTCTATTCCTGCATTAGGTTGCTTAGGATTATAGCCTCCAGCCATAATCCATGTTGCTGCAAGGGACATGATCTCATTCTTTTTTATGGCTGCATAGTATTCCATGGTGTATATGTACCACATTTTCTTTATTCAGTTTTCTGTGGATGGGCATTAACGTTGATTCCATGCCTTTGCTATTGTGAATAGTGCTACAGTGAACATATGTGTACATGAGTCTTTATGGTAGAATGATTTATAATCCTTTGGGTATCTACCCAATAATGGGATTGCTGTCAAATAGTACCCCTGTTTTAAGTTCTTTGAGAAACTGCTACACAGCTTTCCACAGTACCTGGACTAATTTCATTCCCACCAGCAGTATATAAGTGTTCCTTTTTTTCTGCAACATCACCAGCATTTATTATGTTTTGACTGATATGGTTTGGCTGAATTCACACGCATATCTCATCTCGAATTGTAATCCCCATTATCCCCATGTGTTGAGGGAGGGACCCCTTGGGAGGTCATTGGATTATGGGGGTAGTTTCCCCCATGCTCTTCTCATGATAGTGAGTGAGTTCTCACCAGATCTGATGGTTTTATAAGGGGCTCTTCCTGCTTTGCTTCCAGGACACACTCTCCCATCTGTTGTCATGTAAAACATGCCTGCTTCCCTTTCCACAGGATTGTAAGTTTCCTGAGGCCTCCCCAGCCATTGAAAACCATGAGTCAATTAAACCTCTTTTCTTTATAAATTACACAGTCTTGGTATTTCTTTATAGCAGTGTGAAAACAAACTAATAATGGAAACTGGTACCATGGAGAGTGGGGCACTGCTATAAAGATATCTGAAAATATGGAAGTGACTTTTGAACTGGGTAACATGCAGAGTTTGGAACAGTTTGGAGGGCTCAAAAGAAGACAGGAAGATGTGCGAAAGTGTGAAACTTCCCAGAGACTTGTTCAATGGTTTTGACCAAAATGCTGATAATGATGTAGACAATGAAGTCCAGGCTGAGTGGTCTCAGATGGAGATGAGGAACTTATTGGGAACTGGAGCAAAGGTCACTCTTGCTATGCTTTAGTGAAGAGACTGGCGGCATTGTGCCCCTGCCCTAGAGATCTGTGGAACTTTGAACTTGAGAGAGATGATTTAGAGTATCTAGCAGAAGAAATTTCTAAGCAACAAAGCATTCAAGATGTGATCTGGATTATTCTGAAAGCATTCAATGTTATGCATTCACAAATAAATGGTTTGAAATTGGAACTTATGTTTACAGGGGAAGTTGAGCATAAAAGTCTGGAAAGCTTGCAGCCTGATGATGCGATAGAAAAGAAAAACCCATTTTCTGGCGGGGGGACTTCAAGCTTGCTGCAGAAATTTGAATAAGTAATGAGGAGCCAAATGTTAATCACCAAGAAAATGGGGAAAATGTCTCTGGGGTCTGACAGAGAACTTCATGGCAGCTGCTGCCATCACAGACCTGAGGCTTAGGAGGGAAAAACGGTTTCTTGGGCTGGGCTCTGTGTGGCCTCAGAACTTGGTGCCCTGCATCCCAGCCATGGCTAAAAGGGGACAACATACAGCTCAGACCATTGCTTCAGACACTGCAAGCCCCAAGCCTTGGCAGCTTCCATGTAGGGTTAGGCTTTGGGGTTCACAGAAGTCAAGAATTGAGGTTTGGGAACCTCCACCTATATTTCAGAGGTTGTATGGAAATGCCTGATGTCCAGGCAGAAGTTTGCTGCAGGGGCAGAGCCCTTATGAATAACCTCTGCTAGGGCAGTGCAGAAGGCAAATGTGGGCTCAGAGCCCCAACACAGATTTCCCACTGGGGCACTGCCTAGTGGAGCTGTGAGAAGAGGGCCACCCTCCTCCAAATCCCAGAATGATAGATCCACTGACAGCTTACACCATGCACCTGGAAAAGCTGCAAACACTCAATGCCAGCCCGTGAAAGCAGCCAGGAGGTGGGCTGAATCCTGCAAAGCCACATGCGTGGAGCTGTCCAAGACTGTGGGAGACTACTTTTTGCATCAGCGTGACCTGGATGTGAGACATGGAGTCAAAGGAGATTATTTTGGAGCTTTAAGATTTAATAAATACCCCACTGGATTTCAAACTTGGATGGGGCCTGTAGCCCCTTTGTTTTAGCCAGTTGGGTGTATTTACCCAATGCCTGTGCCCCATTTTATATCTCCCATTGTGTCTTGGAAGTAACTTGCTTTTGATTTTACAGGCTCCTAAGTAGAAGGGACTTGCCAAAGGTGGATGAGACTTTGGACTTGGACTTCTGAGTTAATGTTGGCATAAGTTAAGACTTTGGGGGACTATTGGGAAGGCATGATTGTGTTTTGAAATGTGAGGACATGAGATTTGGGAGAAAGCAGGGGTAGAATGATATGGTTTGGCTCTGTGTCCTCAGCTAAATCTTATCTTGAATTGTAATCCCCCTTATCCCCACATGTTAAGGGAGGGAGCTGATGAGAGGTTATTGAATCATGGGGGGCAGTTTTATCCATGCTGTTCTCATAATAGTGAATGAATTATCATCAGATCTGATGGTTTTATAAGGGGCTCTTCCCCCTTTGCTTCCTTCACACGTTCTCTTGCTTGCTGTCATGTAAGACATGCCTGTTTCCTCTTCTGCCATGATTGTAGGTTTACTGAGCCTGCCCCAGCCTTGTGGAACTGTGAGTCAATTAAACATCATTTTTTAAAATAAATTACCCAGTCTTGAGTAGTATCTTTATAGCACTGGGAAAATGGACTAATATTAAATACATTGACTTTTTGATAATAGCAATTCTGATTGGCGTGAGATAGTATATCATCGTGGTTTCAATTTGCATTAAAATAATTCTCTAATGATTTGTGATGTTGAGCAGTTTTTCATATGCTTTTTGGCCATGTGTATGTCTTCTTTTGAAAAGTGTCTGTTCGTGTCCTTTGCCTGCACCCCTACCCTGGTCTTTTTTTTTTTTTTTTTTTTTTTTTTTTTTTTTTGTAGAGTTGGAGTCTCACTCTGTCACCCAGTCTGGAGTGCAGTGGCATGATCTCAGCTCACTGCAACCTCCACCTTCTGGTTCAAGCAATTCTCCTGCCTCAGCCTCCTGAGTAGCTGGGACTACAGGTGCACATCACCATGCCCGGCTAATTTCTTTTGCATTTTAGTAGAGACAGGGTTTTACTGTGTTGCCCAGGCTGATCTTGAACTCCTGAGCTCAGGCAATCCACCTGCCTTGGCCTCCCAAAGTGCTACAATTACAGGCATGAGCTACTGTGCCTGGCCGGCCTTTATTTTTTGAGATGGAGTCTTGCTCTGTCACCCAGGCTGGAGTGTAGTAATGTGATCTTGGCTCACTGCAACCTCTGCCTCCCAGGTTCAAGTGATTCTCCTGCCTCAGCCTTCTCAGTAGCTGGGATTACAGGCATGCACCACCACACCAAGCTAATTTTGTATTTTTAGCAGAGATGAGGTTTCACCATGTTGGCCAGGCTGGTCTTGAACTCCTGACCTCAGGTGATCTGCCCACCTCAGCCTCCCAAAGTGCTGGGCTTACAAGGGTAAGCCACCGTGCCTGGCCCGTATTTGCCCATTTTTTAATGTGGTTGTTTTTTTGTCTGTTAAATTAAGTTTCTTGTGTATTCTGGATGTTATACCTTCGTTGGATGCATAGTTTGTGAATATTTTCTCCCATTCTGTAGGTTGTCTGTTTACTCTATTGATAGTTTCTTTTGCTGTGCAGGAGTTCTTTAGTTTAATTAGGTCACAATTGTCCATGTTTGTTTTTGTTGTAATTGCTTTTGGCATTTTCATCGTAAAATCTTTGCTGAAGCCTATGTCAAGAATGATATTTCCAAGGTTATCTTCCAGGGTTTTTATAGTTTTAGGTTTTACATCTTAGACTCTAATCTATCTTGTATATCATGTTAGATAGGGATCCAGCTTTAATCTTCTGCATATGGCTAGACAGTTATCCCAGCACCATTTATTGAATAGGGAGTCCTTTTCCCATCACTTCTTTTTGTCAGCTTTTCCTATCCATGAACATGGAATGTTTTTCCATTTGTTTGTGTCATCTCTGATTTCTTTGAGCAGTGTTTTATAATTCTAATTGTAGAGATCTTTCATCTCCCTGTTTACCTGTATTCCTAGGTATTTTTTTATTATTATTTTGCTACTGTGAATGGAATTACACCGTTTATTTGGCTCTCAGCTTGAATGTTGTTCATGTATAGAATTGCTACTGAATTCTGTACATTGATTTTTGTATCCTGAAATCTTGCTGAAGTTCTTCATCCAATCTAGGAGTTTTGGGCAGAGATTATGGGGTTTTCTAGATAGCGAATCATATTGTCTGCAAACAGAGATAGTTTGACTTCCTTTCTTTCTATGTGGAGGCCTTTTATTTCTTTCTCTTACACGATTGCTCTGGCTAGGACTTTCAGTACTATGTTAAATAGGAGTGATGAGGCTGGGTGCAGTGGCTCACACCTATAGTTCCAGCATTTTGGGAGGCCAAGGCGGATGATCACTTGAGGTCAGGAGTTCGAGACCAGCATGGACAACATGGTGAAACTTCATCTCAACTAAAAATACAAAAATTAGCCAGGCACAGTGGCACATGCATGTAACTCCAGCTACTTGGGAGACTGAGACAGGAGAATCGCTTAAGCATGGGAGATGGAGGCTGCAGTGATTGAGATCACGCCACTGCATTCCAGCCTGGGTGACAGAGTGAGATTTTCTCCACCCCCCCGCCAAAAAAAGGAGTGGTGAGAGTGGGCATCCTTGTTTTGTTCCAGTTCTCAAGGGGAATGCTTCCAGCTTTTGTTCATTCAGTATGATGTTGGCTGTGGGTTTGTCATAGATGGCTCTCATTTTGAAATCGAAAAATTCTTTGAAACTAATGAGAACAAAGATAAAATATACTAGAATCTCTAGGACAAATCTAAATGAGTGTTAACAGGGAAGTTTATAGTGCTAAATACCCACATCAAAAAGTTAGAAATATCTAAAATTAACAGCATACCTAGAGGAACTAGAGAACAGGAGAAAAACCGACCTTAAAGCTAACAGAAGACAAGGAATAACCAAAATCAGAGCTGAAATAAAAGAAACTGATACACAAAATCATACAAAAGATTAACAAATCCAGGAGTTGGTTTTTTGAAAAAAATGAATAAGATTGATGGACAGCTAGCTAGACTAATAAAGAAAAATAGGGAGAAGATCCAAATAAATACAATCAGAAATGACAAAGGGGACATTACCACTGGCCCCACAGAAGTAGAAAAAAAGCTCTTAGAGAACACTATAAAGACATCTATGCACACAAAGTAGAACACCTAGAAGAATGGATAAATTCCTGGAAACATACAACTTTCCAAGATTGCATCAGGAAGAAATTGAATCCCTAAACAAACCAATAAAGAGTCCCAAAATTGAATCAGTAATAAAAAGCCTACCAACAAGAAAAAGGTGAATTCACAGATAGATTTACCACCAAATTATATTAGATGTATAAAGAATAGCTGGTACCATTCTTTCTTACTGAAACTATTCCAAATAATTGAAGGGAAGAACTCCTCCCCAACTCATTCTATGAGACCAGCATCATCCTGATACCAAAACTTGGCAGAGACACAACTGGAGAGAAAACTTCAGGCCAATATCCCTGATGAACTTTGAACAGAGATGCAATGATCTTCAATGAAATACCAGCAAACTGAATCGAGAAGCACATGTAAATGCTAATCCACCACCATCAAGTAGTTTTTATCCCAGGGATGCAAGATTGCTTCAACAAACACAAATCAATATATGTGATTTACTATACAAAAACAAAAGCACACAATCATCTCTATAGATACAGGAAAGACTTCTGATAAAATTCGACATCTCTTCATGTTAAAAATCCTCAACAAACTAGGCATTGAAGCAACTTTCCTCAAAATAATGAAAGCCGCCTTTGACAAATGTTTTAATTTTGATGAAGTCCAATTTATATGCAGTTTATTTTTGCTGTAGGGATAGAAAATCATGCAGCTTTGGAGTAAAACTGGGTAGAATATAAAAATATTAAAAATTGACTTCTTTCCCCATTTTAAATACATTTTACCTATTCAAATTAAATTGTTCCATAAAAATTACTGGCTTTGTTGGAAATATCAGTTTCATTAATATTTAAGAAACAACTTTGGCACAGTACATCTTCTAAATAAAATTTTTCTTTTCCCACATACCTCTTTCCTGAGAATAATTTCTGTGTATAGCCCCTCTGCACACTATCACTTCCTTTATTAATCTCACAAGTTGGTCAATATCACCAAACATCCCTCTGCCTCAAAATTTACTGTTTTCTTTGGTGTCCACACCTGTATTTTATACAGGAGGAAGAATATCTCATCTATGTTGTTTCTATCCAGAACATTTTATACGTTTGGTATATTTACCAAGTGGCATCAACTTCTCTGAGGGTTATGTGACCTGGGATTACTTTATATCAACATTTTCTCATACTTTACAAGGGGGTGAAATGGTTTTTCCTTATAAGACCACGTCGGTTAAAAATTATTAATACATTATTGTCTATGTACCATGTTTAAGCCCTGTAATACATGTTTTATATAAAATTTTTCATTCATTTTAGTTAATTGTTAAATAGATATTATTATCCCTGTCTTACAAATGAAGAACCTAAATCTTGAAAATGTTAAGTAATTTAATAGCTCCTAAACCATGGATGGGATATTTTACTGACCCTAAAACCTATAGTCTTCAATGCCATTTGTTCTTAACAGCCATCAATTGGCCACAGATGTGTGTATTTTATGTCTTAATTTATCTGAAGCCTTTGAAGAAAAAAATGTTTATCCCACAATAGTTTTATTTGAATATATTGTTTACTTGATATTCCAGTTTTTCTTTTGAATCCAGAATTCAAACCACTATTCCAAGGGTACTGTGATCTTATCTCAAAAAATACGGAAAGCATTTTGCAAAGTATTAAAAAGTATATACTAAAGTGCTTTGGAATTGCCATTATAAAGTAAGTGCATAGAATTACAAAGTAGTTAAATGATATAATGTTGAAATGATAGTTTGATTGTTAAATTCTTTACCATTTTGTGAATTTGTTGCAATTAGGGTGAAAAAAATAGATGCTGACAGCCTTAACAGTCTTATTTTTAGCATCCCTACTGTATTAACACTGATGGCTTCATCAATCTGAGTGTCCTTGGTATTTATTGTTTTCAGTGATGGGTAGTATTTATAATTGTCTTAACAAGAAATTCTAGCCAAACCTGCTTTCATGTCATAAGTAAAGGGAGTTATTCATGTCGAAAATGATGTAAGAAGTGAAGCATAATTTCAGATATATAAATTAACATTTCTTTTTAATACATTGCTCATCATTTTGTTCTTAATAAAAAATAAAGAAACTGTGACACAGACAGTGAAAAATGACTAAGAAATGCCTGTCCTTTAAAAATCACTTATAGGAAGAAAGTTAGGACTTACCTTTTTAATCCAAAGAGTTTTTCTCAAATAAGACTCACTAAATTTTTTTTTTCATTGAATGTAATGATCCATTGCGTCTTTCTTTGCCATGTCTTCCTGTGACCATCAGCACTAGTGAGTTACAGATAAGTACTCACTTTGTGGAAGTCTGTCTCAATTCAAATAATGGTTTAAAACTTCTGCAGTGATCTATGGACCTTGCTTCGGGAAAACGGGGCAATATGACAGAGATAATTTGGTCAAAATCCAAGCTAAACATACTATAGTTTTCAAAGTCCTTTTGACTCTGATACAGACAAATCAGCTCTGGCTGAAAGTTGGTACTTTTTTTCTCAATATTTTGATTTTGTCCTTTGTAAGCTAGCTCTAAACACATGTTCTTTATCTCAGAGTTACTTGTTAACTTACTTGATGGCAAAAACAATTTTAAAAATCTATGAATTTCCTCAGTGGGGCTGACCATCAAAGTTTTGGGAAACTGGGCTAAATAAATAAAAACAAACAAACAGAAAAACTTCTCTGGCTTTGTAGTCTACCTCTCTTAAGTCCTGGTGGGTGTTTACTCTAGATCCCTAGGCTGATAACATTCTTTGCTGTATAAAGGGCAGTGTTTCACATTGAGTCAGCTAGCTAGCATGAATAACCCATCTAATTTAATTGAATAAAAAACTTTGGCCTAATGAATACAAAACTATGCTATAGAATATATCTTGACTAATACAATTGTCTTACTAAGGCACAACTTTGATCATAATTCTTCTCATTCCCATACTCATTGTCGTAGTCATTAGTGATATTTCCCTAAAAATTTCCATCTCTCTTCCACTCCAGGTAGGATTGCTCTTCTTGGCCTCTTATGTTTGGATGGGACGCTCTAATTATTTCTGGCCAATGAGATGAGAGCAGGAGTAACATGTATCCTTTCTGGGCTGAAATTTTACTTGACAGTGCAAACCCCGAAGAGCTCTTATTTCCTTGATGAACAGTGGTGTTTGAGATGTGACTGCTTCTTAGACTGAGACCCTGGGTGATTGCAATAAGCAAAAGCCTCCCTGCCAAACCATAATGAACATTTAGCATGCACATAAAATAAGCCTTTATTTTTGTAAACTACAAAAGTTTGGGTCTTGTCTGTAACTGCAGCATAACCAACCCTATTTTAACTGGTACATTTTCTGACACCCTTCCATTTACTAAAACACATTCAGTAAATACAGGATAAAGTATGAGCTGTCTGGCACTCAAGAGTCTCTTAAATTTGAATTCATTCTACTCTTTCTTTTCTCAGGTTGATTAATGCATTTTGTTTTCCAGTAGAACTGGACTCTATGTCCTGTCTTTCAATTTCTAAGACTGAGCCTTCCCTGAGAACCTCATTGCTTTTCACTTGTGATGAATGTTCTTTTTTTGAATTCCCATTAGTGTCTTGTTATTGTTGTCATTATTTATGAGACTTTTAATTCCATATTTTACTTTACTTATCTGTAAACCTGTTATTCCCTTTACAAAAAACTAATAAGTGAATTTGAGGGCAGGGCCTATGCCTTATTTATATTCATATCCTTATAGACATTAGCTCTGTTTTTAGCTCACAGGAAGTGTTCCATAAATATTTGTTGTATTGCATTGTCTTCTGGTTAAAAATGTAACTGTTAAAATGGTAGGATTTTTTTTTCCATTTTTTTGGATCCTGTCTTCAATTGAAAGTTACTCACAATAATTTTAAACTGATGGAAAGAAGTAGAACAACTCTATAAATTAATTATTCTCCCGGCTTTCTATTCTGACTCTTATCTATTATCTATCTATCCATCCACCTATCTATCATCTCTCTCTCTCTCTTCTATTTATTATTATCTCAATCACCTATTTGCAACTATATGAAAGTAATATATTTTCATGGTCAAACAGGTACATTTGACCTTATAAGTAATAATCCACTGCCACATTTTGACCTATTACCACCTGTACATCCAAGAAATAAATACTTTAAAGCACTTCTGTTTTGGGTTCTTCTGGAGTTTCTGCCACGTTTTAAAACAACATGCATATGTAGTCATTAATTGATATATTAACCTTAGACATTCACTATTGACTTTCTAATGAGGATTTATCTATTGCAATAATCCGAGACACACACCCCCTTCATTGCCATGTTCTTATATCAATATTTTTAGTATTTTTATTAGTTAACTATTTTAATATCTTTAAAATTGTGTTTCTTGTTTAATCACTTTTGATAGTATCTCTTGACTGCCCACTTGGGGGATGAGGATATGAGAAGCCCATATTTCATCTTTTTCCCACTCACACTGACCCACTTCTCTTATCTTCACCTTTACTCTTAAATTTTCAACTTTTACATTCTGCTTTGTAACCCTAGTTAAGTCTTCTGTGCTTTGTCCAGAGGGTCATTCTAAAAGTTTAAAATCAATAAAATGCATTTATTTTATTGACTAAATAAAACTATTCACTGCAGAGCCTGAGTACGATGACTTAATTTGCTTCTTGTTTGGCCATTTAGTTTTTTCTTCCTGTTGTTTTCAATTGCCTTTTAAAAGGGTCTAGCATTGTCTGACTTTATAACAATATTAAATTTTGCCAACATTTCAGTAAAATTCTTTAACCTAGGACTCCCCTCTTGGTGGGAGGTCCTGGTTCTGACGTGGTGCCACTCCAGTCTGTACTGACTCTTTGTAGGCCTGCCTTCTCTTTATTGCTGGCTTGGGTTGGATTCTGAATCTCATTCTTTCTCTTTCTTGGCTTATCCCCTTACTTTCCTGGAGCATATATTTAAGCAACTTCCTATTAAATAATTTGTGAGAGGAAAATTTTCTGAAACCCTTCATATCTGAAAACATTTTTATTCTGAGCTTATTTTCATATATTGTCTGGAATAAAATTCTAGGTTCCTTTAATGATGTGAAGGCATTGCTGGTGATAAACTAGATGCCAGCATGATGACTCTTTTGTCTATGCAAGCTTTTTTGTTTTCCTATCTGTACCCCTTCCCTACCCACTTTCCCCCACAAATACACAAAATTTTAGGATCTTCTCTTTATTCTTGGTGTTCTGAAATTTTACAAGCATGTGTGTGTATGAATTTTGCATTTAAAATCTTATGTATTAATTGGTAGGCCCCTTTAATTTGTTTTCTTCATTTCTGCAAATTCTTTTTTTTTTTTTTTTTTTTTTTTTGAGACGGCGTCTCACTCTGTTGCCCAGGCTGGAGTGCAGTGGCGTGATCTTGGCTCACTGCAACCTCCACCTCCGCGGTTCAAGCAATTCTTCTGCCTCAGACTCCCAGGTAGCTGGGGTTACAGGCATAAGCCACCAGGCCCAGCTAATTTTTGTATTTTTAGTAGAGACGGGGTTTCAGCATATTGGCCAGGCTGGTCTCAAACTCCTGACTTTATGACCTGCCTGCCTTGGCCTCCCAAAGTGCTGGGATTATAGGCGTGAGCCACTGCGTCCCGCCATTTTGCTTGTATTTGCTAATTTCTTTTCATTCTTTTTCTTTGTTCTCTGTTTCTCAAATCTTAGTGCTCTTCATTTAAACTTTTTATTTTTTATTTTTTATTTATTTTTTTATTTTTTTGGGGGGGACGGTCTCGCTCTGTTGCCCAGACTGGAGTGCAGTGGCACGATCTTGGCTGACTGCAACCTCCACCTTCTGGGTTCAAGTGATTCTCGTGCCTCAGCCTCTCGAGTAGCTGGGATTGCAGGCATGCACCACCATGCCCGGCTAATTTTTGTATTGTTAGTAGAGACGGGGTTTTGCCATGTTGCCCAGGCTGGTCTTGAACTCCCGACCTCAAGTAATCCACCCACCTCTGCCTCCCAAAGTGCTGGGATTACAGGCGTGAGCCACTGTGCCCAGCTGATTTAAATTATTTTGTCTTTGGTAGTTTTGCTTATATTGGTCTTTTTATTCTTCATTTGAGATTTCTTGCCTTTACATGTACATGCTTCTGCAGAATGATTTTTACTCAGTAAGCACTTTATTTTTCTTTTAAACTACATTAAATTAATTTTTAATTAACTTTTTTCTTCTTTCTCACTGTTTTTGTCTTATACCAATATGTCATCACGTTCTTATTTTATAGTGGCTTTTGAAATTTATGTGTGTGATGGATGCTCTGTTCTGCCACCCAGATTCCCCTTCCAATAGGGAGGCACTCATTCCTCTACACCCTGCTGCTCAGTGTTGCTTGTGAGTCCTTTCTTGGGAATTATACAAACCTCCTCCATGGGTAGCCTGAATCCAATAACTGATCAATGGGGGTGGGGGTGGGGTTGGGTTCGGTATAGAGCTGGCTTCTTGCTTTAATTCTAGAAATAGCTGAAGGACCATTCCAACCCCTGAGCACCTCCTAGGGTTATCTGAAGTGTCTGTTGCAGTTGTATCACTTTTTAACTTTTTTTTCTGTTCAATCCTGCTTCTCTTACTTGTTCACTCCCGTCATTTGGGACCAGGCAAATCTCTCTCAAGCCTATTTCCCTTGGAGACTGGCCTAAGACATTATATGAAGATAATAATTTAAAGGGTTTTTTTTAAAGAATTTTCTTTGTGTCTTGGGGTAAACATTGGGCTAGTTTTCAATTGTATGTTTAAGAGGTGTAGGAAGGTAGGTAAAGAGGGAGTCAGCTCCTCAGAATGACAATTAACCACTTTTTAGCCTTTTTTTCCTCCCATGCTCTCCATTTTTATGTCTGCCTCTTCTGCAGGGTTTTGCTCTGTAGGGTAGGGTGCCTCCTCAGTCTTCACTGACATCATCTCTGCCGACCTTCTGCACATTGGCTTGTGCTACTCTATTTTGTCAATCAATAAGCTTAACCTGCTTTTTGTGTTCCAGAAGTACATTAGCTTATCTCTTTTGTTGATACTCACCCCCTTCTTTCAGTTGTAATGCTGAGTTGGATCTTTTTATTCCTTTAGTGTTCATGCGATCCTAAGAGAAGCACTGTTCTGTACTCTTTCTTAAACCTGAAGTCTTTTCTTGACTTTTATTTGACTTTAGGAAAATTATATTACTGGTTGACTTTCAGTGAATGAAATTTCAGTTCTCTAAGATGGTATAAAGATTCTAGACTTTCCCAAATTCCACGGTGGTTATTTGGGAAAACTACCAAATGTAAACAAATGTTTTTATATCAAGTATCTGGGGAACTTAGGACTAGGTGCAATTATAGGCATTTAACTGTGTTTCTTATAATTATGTAGTCAAATCATGACTGAACATCTCCTCTGTGTCAGACTCTGAATATAGTGCCATTTATAGGTTAAAAAACAACAACAACAAACAAAACACATAGTGTCTGGACTCATAGTCTAATGGAGGTGGCAAAAACAGTAGAGATGTTTTTACTGCAAAATAGCAAATGCCAACTAATAGTATTAGTAAGCTTGTACAGAGCTAAATGTATCAAATGTTTACTATTGCTGGGTCCTCTACAAATGCCTTACATTTATTAACTAATTAATATTCACAACAAACTTTTGATATAGGCTTTATTCTCTTCCCCATTTTGCAAATGAGGGCACTGAGGCGTTTGCCCATGGGCTGACAGCTGTTAAGTGGTAAAGCCAGGAATCAAATCCAGAAAGTCTGGCCCAGATACGGAACTCTTTGCCACTGGCTGCATTGTTCTCGAGAGGAGAACGGAATAAGCAGAGCACAGAAGTCAGACTCCTGATGGAGTTGGAGATGACGCCCTGAACACTTTCTTTTGTTTTGTTTTGTTTCTATGGGAGGAGGGAATTCACAGAATTTTTTATCTTTTCTTGATAATCTTTTGGGAAAACCATTCCCAGCATGGGCCAAAGTCCTTAAGCCATGGTCCTTTAAGAAAATACTTGATGTTCACCTAAAGTTGATATGGCTATGTATGAAAAAATTTCAAAAGAATTTGATTGAATTCTAAATAATTTTGATAATTACAGATTAAATAATTTTATTAAATACTTAGGTATTTTGTTAGTTTTTTTCTTTGAAACTTGCCCTTTCAAAGAAATATTTAAGGATAAAATATTACCCTTACCAGTTTGTCAAAAATGAAATAGCAAATGCCAAGTCTTGCAAAGATGTGGAAATGTGGGAATTCACATATACTATTGGACATTGAAAGTACTTTTGAAAATCATTTAGCATATTCTAGTTATTGGAGTATGTTTATTTCCTATAACCAAGGAATTCCACACATAGGCATGCACTTTGGGGAAGCTGTTACATATAACCTCAGAAGAAACGTAAAGGAATATTCATGGAAAGAACCACTGCTTGTTATAGCAAAACTCTCGAAATGATACAAAAGTCCATTAAATGAAGAATAAGTAAATCAACTTTGGCACCTTAATAAAATAGGATAAGAAGTAGAAATGTGAGTGTCCAAATACATTTCACTGGATACAGTACTTTGTGTATGTGGTATATTTCATAGCATAATTTTTTAAAGAAATAATACTTTTAATTGGCTTTAGAAGAACAATGGCCAAGATTTATATAAGAAATTAATGTAACCTTAATTAATGTAACATTACTTCAAGTAATAATAGCAGAATTCCTAAATCACTTCAGACATTAAGTGCAAACAGGCTTTACACTAAAGACTTAAAGAATTCAGAACCATTAAGCTGGTTAAAGTTTCTCCTTTCTAAAAATGCAACTTAACAAGGCCATGTGGGTATCTGTGAGATCAACTACTTTCACTTTTATTGGTTTTATTCTTCAGAAAGGATGCTTAAAAAACAAATAGGAGTTAGCCAGGCAAAGGAAAGTGGGAAGTCCTTTTTAGAGGACAAAAGCAGCGCAAACAGAGTAAAAATCATGGTCCTTTTATCTAACGCTCTCTCTGTGGCTGCTTTAGCCTAAGACAGCACAGCTATAGTTAGTCTGCTAAATCCTTTGACGTTCTAAATCATAATAAGTGTCAAATGTATTTTTAACACATGCCATTCACTTATTCATTAGTTCACTCACTAATTTAACAAACATTTATGGAGTACCTACCATACGCTAGTTCTTGTGCTGGGGAAATGCTAGTGAACAAGACATATATAGTCCCTGCCCTCATGGAACTTACTGTTTAGAAGAGGACAAAGAAATAGCCAGAAAAAAATGGCCTTTCCCTTAAAGCAACTTTTATATTGACGACATATCTAGCGCTAAAAATTGACTCAGAGATACTAACTCAATGAGTTAATAGATCTCCATAATGATCTATACAGAGATCAGTTATAATGGGAATAGGATGCACTATATAGAAGTCGTTTGGCCTGAAGGATGTTCTGGGTGGAATGAATCCTTTAAACAATTCAATTACTAGGGTCTTTTATGTGTGAGGCACTGAAAAGAATAGAGAAGCAAATCAGGCATAGACCCTACACTCAGTCAGGTGACAGTGGTCAAATTCTGCCCACTTCCCATCATTTCTGCTTCCTGGCTTCTCCCAGTGAAGCTCACTGATCTTTCTTTGGGATACTCAGCTAGGACCTAGTTTCAGACCCATTTTGGTGGGAGGGAGTTCTTCTTTCCTCTGGTATCATGCTCTTTTTTGTTTGTTTGTTTGTTTGTTTGTTTGGGATGGAATTTCACTCTTCTTGCCCAGGCTGGAGTACAATGATGCGATCTCAGCTCACTGCAATTTCCGCCTCCTGGGTTCAAGTGATTCTCCTGCCACAGCCTCCCAAGTACCTGGGATTACAGGCATGCACCACCATACCTGGCTAATTTTTTTAGTAGAGAACGGGGTTTCACCACATTGGCCAGGCTGATCTTGAACTCCTGACCTCAGGTGATCCACCTGCGTCGGCCTCCCAAAGTGCTGGGATTACAGGCGTGAGCCACCACGCCCAGCCAGGTATCATGCTATTTTTTGATGTCTGCTATTGAGGGACTATTTCCAACTCAGTGTGAGGTGATGCTTGCCCCCTTCACTGCATTGCTCAATATTTTTAAAAAGAATTGGACTCATATCATTAATGTAAACCAGTGACTCTGTTCTTTGCTCTAACCCTCACACTGCTCCGTTACGTATGACAATCCTTTTATTACAGATAAGGAAAGGAGACTACAGTTTGACAAGTTTTCCCAATGATATATCAGCCCAAGAGTAGTAGAAGAAGAATTTGGCCCTAAACTCCAGTTTTCCCAAGAAGCTCTATTGCCTCTCTTACAAAAATTCATCTTTTTGTTTTGTTTTGTTTTAAGGAGGTTGCCTGGCTTTTGGTTTTCTTTTTTCTTTTTCTTTTTTTTTTAGAAGGAGTGTTGCTCTGTCGGAATGCAGTGGCGCAATCTTAACTCACTGCAACCTCTACCTCCTGGGTTCAAGCGATTCTCCTGCCTCAGCCTCCCAAGTAGCTGGGACTACAGGCACATGCCACCACACCTGGCTATTTTTTTTTTTTTTTTGTATTTTTAGTAGAGATGGGGTTTCACTGGATGTTAGCCAGGATGGTCTCCATCTCTTGACCTTGTGATTCACCCACTTCAGGCTCCCCAAGTGCTGGGATTACATCTGTTTCTTTTATTGGTAATTTTACTCTTCTTTCTTCTGATTTCTGAGTGTCCACTATCATAATTCAAAACTGACTTGTCCATAAGTGATAACACAGGACTCCAGTGTCTAGTCCAATTTTCTTTCTGTTTCCCATGCTGCTGATGTATTTAAAGTTCTCCTTTGAGTTTTAGCAAAGCTAAAGCTCTGAAGCATCCATCAGAGTGAAGGTTTACTTCATTCTCACTTTGTAAAATCCCTATGAACTAGTAAAACTAAGTTTTACTTCATTTTGACCTTGTAAAATTCTACACACATAAATATATGAATCCATGGAAGGAAAGAGATGATCAAGGTTTTGTAGGTAGGTCATACTAAGCCCAAAGTGAAAGGAGCAAACAGATGCAAGGGAGTTTGACATTCTGCCAGAGCAAAGCCTATGGCATTGACACATACTATAGGCTTTCATGTCAGTATTGTATAATAAGCAATTACTGAAAGTAGCTATGTATTCATTAATAGTATTCATTTCTTCATTCATTTATACATTCTATAAACATTTTTTGAGTGCCAAACAAGTATCCAGTATTATTCTAGGCACAGGGGATACAGCAGTAACCTCCAAGGTTGAGATTCATATCTTTAACGTATTAGCTGGTTAGTGATGAAAGACAGATAGTAAATAAGTGGACACATAAATAACATAATTCTTGGTAGTGATAAAAGCAATGAAGAAAATAAAACAGGTAATAAATTATGATTATTTGGGGGAGGGCTATGGTGGGTGACGTCTATCATGGCCCCTAATGACCTATCTCAAGAATGTATTTAAGGACTCAAGACCTTATGGGCTGTCCTAGCAACTTCTCATTAGTTGCTTCTCATCAATTGAAATTGGAAAAGATGATAGGATGTTACTTTCATGATCAGATTTTAAGAAATTTATAGCTTAGATCTTGGTAGCAGTCTCTCTATTGCTTTGATAAGTGAGCTGCCATGTTGGAGAGCTCAGTATGATAAGAAAATATGAGGGCTCTTTAGCCAATAGCCAGTGAGGAACTCAGGACCTCAGTCCAACAACCCTCAAGGAGCAAATTCAGCCAGCAACTTGAGTGAGCACAGAAGAAGTTCCTTTCTGACTTGAACTTGCAGATGAAACCCAGCCCTGACCAAGCTGATCTGAGAGAAAACCTGAAACAGAGGTCTCAGTTAAGCCTACCTGGATTCTCGACTCACAGAAACTGAAATAATAAATATGTGTTGTTTTAAGCCTCTAAGTCTATCATAATATTGTCATACAGTGGTCACGTTTGTGTATCACACATATATATCACATATATATGCTTAAAACTTACAGTAATCTCTTTTAAGTTGCTTATGACAGTGGAAGGCTTATTTGTTATCTATGTTGTACTGTTATATAACTGGGATTTTAGCCTCTTTGTGACAAACATTGATCTCTATCTTCTGATATGGTTTGGATTTGCGTCTGCACCAAATCTTATGTCGAATTGTAATCCCCAGTGTTGGAGGTGGGGCCTGGTGATTGGATCATGGGGACAGATTTCTCATGAATGGTTTAACACCATCCTCTTGGTACTGTCCTTTTGATAATGAGTGGGTTCTCATGAGATCTGGTTGTTTAACTGTGTGTGACACCTCCCTTTCATGCTCTCTCTTGCTCCTGCTCCTGTCATGTAAGATGCCTGCCCCCACTTTGCCTTCTGCCATGAGTAAAAGAGTAAAAGCTCCTCAAAGCCTTCCCAGAAGCAGATGCTGCCATGCTTCCTGTAAAGCTTATAGAACCATGAGCCAATTAATCCTCTTTTCTTATGAATTATCCAATTATCCACTTTTGAGTCTCCCTTCCTTCCTTCCTTCCTTCCTTCCTTCCTTCCTTCCTTCCTTCCTTCCTTCCTTCCTTTCTTTCTTTCTTTCTTTCTTTCTTTCTTTCTTTCTTTCTTTCTTTCTTTCTTTTTCTTTCTGAGTCTCTCTCTGTTGCCCAGGCTGGAGTGCAGTGGCACGATCTTGGCTCACTGTAACCTCCACCTCCCAGGTTCCAGCGATTCTCCTGCCTCAGCCTCCTGAGTGACTGGGATTACAGGCACGCACCACCATGCCTGGCTAATTTTTTGTATCTTCAGTAGAGACAGGTTTTCACCATGTTGGTCAGGCTGGTCTCAGACTCCTGACCTCGTGATCTGCCCACCTCAGCCTACCAAAGTGTTGGGATTACAGGCATGAGCCACCACGCCTGACCTCAGGTATTTCTTTATAGCAATGCAAGACTGGGCTAATACACCTTCTGAAGTGTCATTGGATTATTTGAATCCTTTATTTCAATAGCAGTTATCTAATTTGTGCCAGGTTATGTGAGTTGCTAAAAGAATCAGCTTTAATGAGGTCTTTTTCACTTTCCACATATATCAACTTCTCTTTAAGATTTTACAGGCTTATTCATGGACTATTACAATTAATAATGTTTAAGTGTGCTAAGTGGTAATACCTTGTCAAACACCATTTTTCTTTGAGACATTAGGACTTATTGAGGTTCTTGGTCTAGAGAAAATTCCAGGCTTACAGAAATAGCAATAGTGCTAATGTATTAAAAAAAATCATATTGAGTCTATTCTGTTAGAGCTCCATGGAAGTCTGCATGAAGATCTGTGCATGCAGCCTGTGCCTGACAGCTAGTGGTTGGGTTTTAGATGCCACCATCTAAACATCTTTGGTACCATTTCCTAGAATGAGCTCAACATAACATGCTGCCCAGTAGCTTCTGGAATCAGCTCTTAACAGAAAATCTTCAGTGGAACAGCTGGGCCTGCATCTGTTCCATGACTTAAGCAGAGATTCATCCACAGGCTGGCCTGCAGGAGAATGAACAACAACAAAAAACTTTCAGGAGGATGACAGGGAGAGTGAACAAGAGCCACACAACCATACATGTCCTGAGAGAAGTGAAGGATGGAGAGACAGGCCACTCAAATTGTTGGATCAGCACCCTGGGTATGACAGAGGATACCATATTAAAGAAAGACTAATTTCAAACAGGGAAAATTTTCTAAAAATATGTGATAGATAAAGGGACAATATGCATAACGTATAAAATCTACCTACAGATCAATTAAAAAATGGCCAAATAGAAAATGGGCAAAAGACATGAACATATATTTTATATTTAAAAACACACAGCTCAACAACAGCATTATCAGAGGAATGAATATTTAAAAGATAATGTCTTGCTTACCAAATAGCAAAATTTAAAGGCTGGTAATACTAAATTTTAGTCAGTAGGTATAAGAGAAAATAGGTATTCTCTACACCGACAGTAAGAATATAATTGATTAAATTTTCCTACAGGGCAGTATACATTAAAATTAAAAACCACTATGTTCTTTGATTCAACAAATACATTTTAGGGCATTTTTCTTACAAAAAAATTTGTAAAAGTTGACAAAGATATTTGTATAGTAATAATGGTCACTGCAATATAGATTTTTAGTAACAGAAAATTACCATCATTCCACACTTATTTAATATTGGTTACACAGATGAGCTTTACTGAATGTAGAGGGAGAACAGGCAAGGCAATGAAGAGGTCCCTCTTTAAAAGAGCATTCTTTTCTTGCTTCTGATTGTAATAATGCAGCCTCTGGTTTCCTGGTCCTGATGGGGATGTGTGAGCTTGACATTCATTTGGGATGTGGGTGCCCACTGTGAGTCTACAGCGATGGTTCTCTGTGCTGGCTTCACTTTAGAGTATTAGTGTCATATGGGTAAATCAGTTGTTGGGAGACTGGCTCTCACATCAAGGCAATGCAGGGGACAGACAGCAGATGGCTTCCCTCCAATCTCTACTCCTCCTGCTGTGTCAAGAGGCTCCTTTTTCAGGCTTGCCCCTGTCGTGCCCTCTTCCTGCCTCCATGCA
The DNA here is from genome assembly GCF_000001405.40 of Homo sapiens. Classification (NCBI taxonomy): domain Eukaryota; kingdom Metazoa; phylum Chordata; class Mammalia; order Primates; family Hominidae; genus Homo; species Homo sapiens. Next base: position 18,245,125 of record NC_000002.12, read on the forward strand.
CACACACCAGCTCATGAAAGCCTTTGGTCTCTTAAGGTTTTTATATTGGTTTAGCAGATAAAAATTTCCCTCTCCTGTGTTGTTTTTCTGGAGTTGATACTGGAGGAAAGAACTAGCAGCCCATGCTTGTTCAGCATCTTAGCAAGAATTACAAGTAGCCTTTATATTTTAAAAAATCAAATGAAACATATCAGAATTTTAAAATATTAATTTTCTTTTGTTTATTTGAGTTCATGATGTGGCTCTTTCTAAAAGTATCTGAATTTAATATTTTTTTCATATATTTATAGGGAACATATGTTTCTTTTAAAAAATATCAGGAAAGCTAGATCAATACATAATTAAGGAAAGGGTTTCCACAGCAGAGCTAGGAGATGACATATGAAGCTTTGTCATTTCCCCTGGGGAGTTGGCTGGAAGCAGCAGCTGCAGCTTTCTGAGCTCATCCCAAGGCAGGGTGACTGAGGGAGACTTTGCACATTGGGACCAACTCCACCTCCAAGAGTGAAGGGTCTGATGTGACTTGGCCAATGTGGAGCCAGCTCAGCAGTGGAGGTCACCGTGGGACTCTTTGAGGTCCCTTTGGGAAGGATGTTCTCTCTCTGGTTCTGGCTCTAATTCTGCAAGCACCTGTTTTTTTTTCTTGTCCCAATGGGGACATGTGAGCCTTGGTATTTATTTGGAATTTTGGGGCCCACTGATGCTGCACAGCAATAGTTCTCAGAGTGGTTGGCTTCTCATTACAGTTACCTGGGTGCATATGTTGGTTCCTATGCCTCCCTCCTAATTGGTTTGGGGTTTCGCTTAAGCATTGCTTTTTGTTTTAAAGGTCCTCAGCTAGTGGAATGCCTCATCTCACAACACAGCTTAAGCCAACCCTTGAGGCAGGAGGCACCTGCTGTTATAGATATGGAAAATCATGCTTCCTTCCATCCTACTGCCATGTATAGAGCAACTAGGGTTACTCTCACACTCTCCAAATTCTTGCACTTCTCCAAAGGGGTCACATGCTGCCCATGTCCTTCATTACAAGCAGCCAAAGTCAAAAGGCTGATCCATCGGTGAACCCACTTGAGTGTGTTAACAGATGTATGTAAACTTCACAAGGTCAGAGCATTTTTGAAGAGACCCAGATCATTAATTAAGCATCTTCCAGGCGGACAACATTATCACAGAGGGAAATAAAATAATTTATTTTGTATAGTTGTGTTGTCAACTTTTTAATCAGCATAAAAAATAGTTAGACCAAATTCATAAATTGATTTGGCAGAAGCAAATGGTGTAGGAGACCAGAATAGAAATGCCAGGAGCCTTTAGTAGGGAAAAACAAACATGGAGTACAAAATAACCCACCCTCTAGGAAAAAAGTGACAACACTAGTTTTTTTCTAACCATTTTTCAATGGTTCTGTTGGTAAAAGAAAACAGAATTCTAGTATTATGCTTTTAACATGTAGAATTCTGGTCTTAATCAAGACTTGCTATGTTTTTGAGCCTTTTTTCCCCCAAGTCATATTTAAACTAGGGATAAAGCAAACTAAGTATTTTCCCAAATCTGGTTCTATTTAACAACGTATTCATGTAGTGTAGTGTTATTCCTGCAAAAGTGAAACTTAATTTGCACGTGAATTTAGGGTCCCAAATTTTGCTGTGGACTGTTGTCTGCATTCTATGAAACTGGTACTTCCAAGCCTTCAGAAAGAAAAGACCTAGAGAATCAGGCTCCTCTGTGGGATATGAGGATGCTACCATGTGTTCAGGAGACCCAAGTTTAACACACACACATCAGTGTGTGTAGGGTTTTTACTATTGACTTTAGAAGACTCGTTTGGGGTTAAGAGCTCAAGTGCAAGCAGTCACCCCGGATAAGATCAGTGGGCTCTAAAGATCTAGATGAAGCCTCCCTGACATTAACTAGCTAGAAAACAGATAAACACAATGAAGGTGGACTAGAAGGAGTTGAAGCATTGCTAAAACCAGTGCAGTTGAGTGACTCTTTCTAGCATTCCCCACCATCAGAGCTAAAAATAATTTTTATCATGACTGGAAAACCAGGCAGTGTTATCAGGTACTAAACCTCTTATTTCAGAACCCATTTAATCTCTTGGGCAGTGAAGTAGAAACAAAAAAAAAATAGCTTTACTATGGAACTATGAATGAAAAATTACAGAACACACATACCTTCTGTTTTCCATAAATCCCTTAAGTGCCACTATAAAACCTCACCCTTTCGGGAAGCTGAGGCAAGAGAATGGCATGAACCCGTGAGGTGGACTTGCAGTGAGCCAAGATAATGACACTGTACTCCATCCTGGGCACAGAGCAAGACTCCATCTAAATAAATAAATAAATAAATAAATAAATAAATAAATAAATAGAAAAGAAAAGAAAAAAACAAACCTCACCCTTTGTAGCTTCCCTGAGGCAGCCTGATTTTATCATTCAAAAACTGGAAACACTAGGACAGAAGGTCTATTAGATCTATGAACTTATCTAGGAGGTCTTAGCACAATGTCTAAAAATACCTGGAAGTTAATACTTTCAAAATAACCTGGCTGACAATTTGGCTATGGAAAAAAATATAAAGGACTTTGCGGTTTCTTTCCTGCTTGCCAACATTTCCCCCATTGTTCCCTGCCACGCACTGCTGTGTTTGTTTATATCAGTACTGCATTATGGGTGACAATGCAGACTGAAAACACACAGCTTATTTGAATTCCAGCCTGCCACTTTCTTGCTGGGTAACTATAGACGGGTTACTTAAACACTCTGAACCTCAACTTTCCCTTATTTAAATTACGTATGGGTAATAATAGTACCTACTTTATAGAATGTGGCTAGGATTAGATAAAAGGCCCTCTGATTAATGCCTGACGCATAGCTAATGCTAAGTAAAAGTTAACACTTGAAAGAGTGAAAAAGCTGTTCAAGATGAAAGAGTGAAAATTAATTCAGGCTGTTCCTGGGGCTGGAAGGTCAGACATAGAAAAATCCAGCTAAAAAATTAACAAAAACCACTGTTCCTCCCCAGGTCAAACAGCAGCTGTAGAATTCATAATAACCTCTTCTTTGAGTGGTTACAGCTTTCCTACCTATGACTCCCTGAGACCCATCTTGAAATTCCCTAATATTATCGGGGATATCCAATCGCTAGATGACTGTGTTAGACTGTTTTCGCATTGCTCTAAAGGAATACCTGAGATTGGGCAATTTATAGAGAAAAAAGTTGTAAGTGGCTCTCTGTTCTGCAGGCTATCCAGGATGCATGGTGCCAGCATCTGCTCATGGTAAAGGCCTCAGGAAGCATACAATCATGGTGGAAAATGAAAGGGGAGCAGGTGTGTCACATGGTGAAGGCAGGAGCAAGAGAAAGAGGAAGGCTCTTTTAAAAGAAAAGCACTGCCCGGCTCTTTTAAACCATCAGCTATTTTTTGAACTAATGGAGTGAGAACTCACTAATCACCAAGGACCGTGGTGCTAAACCGTTCATGAGGGATCTGCCCCCGCGATCCAACACCTCCCAGCAGGCCCCACCTTCAACATTGGAAGTCACATTTCACCATGAGATTTGGAGGTGGCGAACATCCAAACAATACCATGTTACCTTTGCCTCATGACCTAATTCCTAGTCAATCTCTGTTTTTCTTAGTCCAGCCTCAGGATAAGCAACCAAGCCAGAATTAATTCCTGCTTCCTTTAGATCTCCCTTAAAGCCTTTCATCAGGATCTCACACCTTAAAAAAGACGTTTTCCTCCTCCCTCATGGTATCTGGATTGCCCTCCCTCACTGTTGAATCAATTAATCTGATCTGCCAGACAGCAGATTTGTGGCTGGTAGTCTCTGGCTGCTAAGGTTTGGCACTACGGCTGTTGTTATTGTTGTAGTGATAGCAGTAATAGCAGGTGCAAGGTGTTCAGGGACCTAGAGATGCATTGCATATATTCTAGAGACATTTTATTCATTTATTACTTACTTAAGATAGATTTTGTATATGTGTGGGTAGGGTAGGGGGTCATAAATTTTTGTTAAATCTTTGAGTAAGAGCCCCGTTCTCTACTACAGGAGTCTCACTGGATGGCAATGAGAAAAGCCCATGTCACAGAAAACTTCAGGGAATCTTAGAAATCTGGGCATCCAAATACCAAGATGTAGGTCAACAGGACCTTTGTATGTGGATTTTTGGTGCCTTTTCCCCAAAAGTAACATTGACAGTTTACCCAAACAAATAAATGCTCCCTATTGATGGAAAAGTTTACATATCAATCTAAAGAGATATGAAAGTAGTGTGGGGATGAAGAGGCAGTATACAGTTCACTATTAGTGAGTCCTACCACCTTTTGAAGAAACACAGTATACTGCATTTTCTAGGTATAAGTGCCACAGTGCATTGGCAGAGAGAATGCAACGGGGTGCCCATTGGTTGGGGAAGGCTTTGGGAAGCAATTGGTCCTAAAATGATGTTTGAAACCTGGGCAGACTGGGAAGGGCATTCTAGCCTGGAAAAAGAGTATGAAGGAAGAATGGTATGAGTCTGGCATGGAACAATGCCTTCTCTCTAACCAGTGATTATCCATTATTGAATAGAATGGGGAAACATATCACAGGAAGCTGGGCCAATTTTTAAAACTCACAGTGCCCATAGGAGGGAAAACAATAGTTCATCATTAGTGGTGAAGAAATTAGAAACTACTAATCCCTGCCAGGTTCTTGTGTGTGTTCACTGTACCATCAGCTTAGTGGTTCAGGGACAAAGCCAGATGTCAGATAAGTGAGTAAGATCCAGGGACATCAAAGGTCTTGAGCATCCAGGCAAGCCCAGGCCTACTTCTATTTCTGCATCTACAATAGAGCTTCAGTGGAATTTTCTTTTATAATGAAAATGTTTTATATCAGTACTGTCTAATATGGTAGCTGTGTGGCTATTGAACAGTTAAGGTGTGGCTAATGTGACTAAGAAACAGAATTTTGACTTTAAATTTGACTAAAGCTGTTTAGATTAATTCAAATTTAAATTTGTATGGCTAGTGGTTATCATATTGGACAACACAGAAAGAATTGATTGACTCCTGAATTCCATGGCAGAATGCTGGTTTGACATATTAACAGTGCTCCTCTCATTGATGGCAGTTTCCAGAAAGAGGTCATCTTTATAAATCATGCTTACTCTTTTCTTTAGGAATTAAGGACAACACAAGCTACCAAGTTCAGAGCTCCTTAGAACTGAATGTTTCCAATTTCTAGTCTCTGGCTACACCTGAAGGGAATTCTTGGGTAAAGCAAATAAACAAACTGAAAACGAAAACCAAACAAATACACTTTAGAAATGGTGACCAAGTTGCTTAGATGTTATCAGTTGATACAGGTGATCATCTGGGGCACTTATTTCTGTTTTTAATTCTCAGGATCTAAATCCCTATTAGCAATGGAATGAGTTATAACATGTTTTATTTTCATGCTGTTCATTAATTTAGCCATGGAAATGATGTTTATTCATTAAAGTATTCAAGATATGTATATGAAGAATCGTAATCCCCTCACAAGCTTGACTAAGTTCTGATGTTCTGTTCTAAGGTTGGGAACACTTGCTTTTCCCACACTGTTGAGCTGCCTAGTTTTTGAGGGGAGTAAGTTGAATCAGGACCTATGTTTGGGGGACCATTCCAGGGTCCAGCCTGACACAGGTATTAACAGAGGTCTTATGACTTGGTAAGCCAACAGTCGAGATTGGCCTGGTTTGGAACCCATCTTTCCACTTTCCTCTAAGAGTACAGGCTGATGTTTTGCAATCTTGCTCTTTTCTTTGTAAAAGTTAGACTGGATTTTAATTTTAACCTAATACACCTCAATAAAAATACGATTAGGAGGCCCTACCATTTGACTTTCCACTAGGTCTAGTGTTTCAAGACAGGTTACAATATATTACCACTGGGACTGAAAATACTTGTTTCATACCTGCTGAATAACTTGCTTCTGATTGTATTTCTTCTGAAAAGCTCTTCTTTAGTAACTATAAATGATGCATTATGCAAAAAAACTGATCCATTATTAATCATAATCTATATCCCGTGAGAAGAACAAGGCAGAGTCTCAGCTTGCCAAATAAGGCAGTCAGCAGATGATACTCTTCAGGACTCAACAGAATTGATAACTGTAGGAAACCAAAAGATTTCCCAATTGCTAAGTGTATTAAAAAAGCTAAGAAATACCTTTGTTGTTAGCAAAAAAAAAGATATTGGTAAACACTTCTGTTTTGTGTTCTAACAAAAGGGAGGCCATGTGAAAAATGGATTTGTATCTGTTTTATTTTTAAATCTATTCAGTGTTATGTGGTGTTTTAGTTCATTTTCACGCTATAAAGAACTACCTGTGAATGAGTAATTTATGAAGAGGTTTATTTGACTAACATTTCCACATGGCTAAGGAGGCCTCAGGAGACTTAAAATCATGGCAGATGGTGAAGGGGAAGCAGGCACCTTCACAGGGCAGCAGGAGAGAAGGGGGAGGGGAGAGAGAGAAACAGTGTGAGCAAGCATGAGGGGGGATGTGCCACACTCTAAAACTATCAGCTGTTGTGGCAACTCACTCACTATCATGAGAACCACATGGAGGAAACTGCCCCCATGATTCAGTCACCTCCCACCAGGTCACTCCCTCAACACATAGGGATTATAATTCGAGATGAGATTTGGGTGGGGACACAGAGCCAAACCGTATCATGTGGAGAGCTAAGAAATAGATTAGAAAGGGTTTTCCCATAAGAGCCCATAATCCACATGGATATGCAGCTTATGTCACAGTGCCTCATTTCACTTCCACATTTTGCTCTGTGACTTTCATCAAATTTTATTTTAATGAACATTTTTTTCCTGAATTAAATTTGCCAGAGCTGTAGTTCTACTTTTGTTATTTACTCAAAGTAAAAAATGTTGCAGCTTTTTCACTCCTGTTGTTTGGCAAGTAGGAGGGAGTATTACAGCTCTTTTACTCCCACCACTAGTAAGCTCCAGGTTCTTGTTCCATAACCAAGAAGAATAAGCCACGCAGACATTGGAGAGTGAGTAAGGCAGATTTGGATGTATTAGGCGACAGGAAAGCTCTCAGCAAGAAGAGGGGACGCGACAGAGGGTTGCTGACTGCAGGGCTTTTGGGGGGTTTTCAATGGGCTGGAAAGAGGGAGGAGTGTGCTGACTGGTCTGCAGGCCAATTTGGAGAAAGCACCACTCAGAGAGGGACATGATAGTAGAAAGAATCAGTTGGAGGCAGAGGTGAAGCCTTGGTCCAGGACCTTGGCCCAGGACCAGTCAGAGGCTGAAGTGAAGGCTTGGCCTGCCACAGTCAGGGACTAGAGTGATGTTCCACTTCATGTAAACAAAGTCACAGAAAGATAGGTATATATAAAATAGGTGAAAGATATCAGGAGGAAACGAGTGCAATGAGACAAAGGTGTGCCAAGGAGAGAGAAATGTGTCCAAAAGAGGAGTGGAATTTGTTCACCTGGGTTCACAGAGTAGGCATTTACCATTCAGGGACACAGGCTCTTTTTTTATCCAGAACCTGCAGCTTGATTTTCAGGCAGTTCTGGGTTTGGAGTTTTGCTGAGGACCCACCCTAACTCCCTGCCTGATGGGTTTCTTTCTTCCTCCTCTCTCACAAGCTCTTGAGTTTTAAAAATAAAGTATATTATTTTAAATGTATTAATTTTAACTTATTTTTATTTTTCACCTCTATTTTTCTTAGGACTTCACCTATGTAGTTATTTAACTTAGTGGTGGCAGTGGTCTTGATTACGACTTCTTAAGTTTAACATCTAGCCTCTTTCTTTCTATTTTCTTCCCTTCCCTCTTTCCCTCCTGATATGGTTTGGCTGTGTCCCCACTCATATCTCATCTTGAATTGTAACTCCCACAATTCCTACGTGTTGTGAGAGGAACCCAGTGAGAAATGATTGAATTATGGGGGCGATTCATTCCTGCACTGTTCTCATGATAGTGAATGAGTCTCCCAAGATCTGATGGTTTTAAAAAGAAGTGTTTCCCTGCACCAGCTCTGTTCTCTTGTCTGCTGCCATGTGAGACTGCCTTTCACCTTTCACCATGATTTTGAGGCCTTCCCAGCCACATGGAAATGTAAGTCCATTAAACTTCTTTATTTTGTAAGTTGACAGTCCCATGTACGTCTTTATTAGCGGCATGAAAATGGACTAATACAATAAATTGGTACCAGTAGAGTGGGGCGCTGCTGAAAAGATATCCAAAAATGTGGAAGTGACTTTGGAAATGGATAACAGGCCAAGGTTGGAACAGACTGGAGGGCTCAGAAGACAGGAAAATGTGGGAAAGTTTGGAACTCCCTAGAGACTTGTTGAATGGCTTTGGCCAAAATCCTAATAATGATATGGACAATGAAATCCAGGCTGAGGCGGTCTCAGATGGAGATGAGGAACTTGTTGGGAACTGGAGCAAAGGTGACTCTTGTTATGTTTTAGCAAAGAGACTGGTGGCATTTTGCCCCTGTCCTAGAGATTTGTGGAACTTTGAAATTGAGAGAGATGATTTAGGGTATCTAACGGAAGAAATTTCTAAGCAGCAAAGCATTCAAGAGATGACTTGGGTGCTGTTAAAGGCATTCAATTTTATAAGGGAAGCAGAGCCTAAGAATTTGAAAAATGTGCAGCCTGACATTGCAATAGAAAAGAAAATTCCATTACCTGAGGAGAAATTCAAGCTGGCTGCAGAAATTTACATAAGTAACAAGAAGCTGAATGTTATTCCCTAATACAATGGGGAAAATGTCTCCAGGGCATGTCAGAGGTCTTCACAGCAGCCCCTTTTATCACAGGCCCAAAGGCCTAAAAGGAAAAAGTGGTTTTGTGGGCGAGGCCCAGGGTCCCTGTGCAGTGTGCAGCCTAGGGACTTGATGCTCTACGTCCCAGCTGCTCCAGGCCTGGCTGAAAGGGGCCAATGTAGAGCTCAGGCCATAGCTTCAGAAGGTGCAAGCACCAAGCCCGGGCAGCTTCCACATGGTGTTGAGCCTGCGAGTGCCCAAAAGTTAAGAATTGGGGCTTGGGAACCTCCCCCTAGATTTCAGAAGATGTATGAAAATGTCTGGACGCCCATGCAGAAATTTGCTGCAGGGTCGGGGCCCTCATGGAGAACCTCTGTTAGGGCAGTGCAGAAGGCAAATGTGGGGGCAGAGCCCCCACACAGAGTCCCAAATGGGACACCACCTAGCGGAGGTGTGAGAAGAGGGGCCACTGTCCTCCAGACCCCAGAGTGGTAGATCCACCAGCAGCTTGCACTGTGAGACTGGAAAAGCCACAGATACTCAATGCTAGCCAGTGAGGCAGCCAGGAGGGAGGCTGTACCCTGCAAAGCCACAGGGGTGGAGCTGCCCAAGACCATGGGAACCCACCTCTTGCATCAATGTGACCTGGATGTGAGACATGGAGTCACAGGAGATGATTTTGGAGCTTTAAGATTTGACTGCCCTGCTGGATATCAGACTTGCATGGGGCCTGTAGCCCCTTTGCTTTGGCCAATTTCTCCCATTTGGAATGGCTGTATTTACCCAATACCTGTACCCCCATTGTACCTAGGAAGTAATGAACTTGCTTTGATTTTACAGGATCATAGAAGGAAGGGACTTGCCTTGTCTTGGATGAGACTTTGGACTTTAGACTGGACTTCTGAGTTAATGCTGAAATGAGTTAAGACTTTAGGGGACTTTTGGGAAGGAATGATTGGTTTTGAAATGTGAGGATATGAAATTTGGGAGGGGCCAGAGTGGAATGATATGGTTTGGCTGTGTCCCCACCCAAATATTATTTTGAATTCTAACTCCCACAATTCCCATATGTCATGGGAGGAACCCAGTGGGAGGTGATTGAATTATGGGGACAGATCTTTCTGGCGCTGTTCTGATGATAGTGAATGAATATCATGAGATCTGATGGTTTTAGAAAGGAGAGTTTCCCTGCGTAAGTTCTCTTCTCTTGTCTGCTGCCATGTGAGACTTGCCTTTCACCTTCTGCCGTCATTGTGAGGCCTTCCCAGCCATATGGAACTCTAAGCTTATTAAATCTCTTTCTTTTGTAAATTGCCCACTCAGATATGTTTTTATCAGTTGCGTGAAAACGGACTAGTACACCTCCCTTCCTCATCTCACTTCTCTCTCTTTCACTCTTTCTAATATGTTTGCTTCTGAGTATAGCTTAAGTTCCCGTCTATAAAATTAGAAAATTAGCATTCCTTTTGTTTTCTAAATTATTTTACACCGATTTTCCTCTTTTGCCTAATAATAATTTATAGGAATATTTTAGTATTCCTCAGCACTTGGACTTTTTATTTAAAACTTGTTTGACCACATTGTTAGAATGTATTCTCTACAATATCTGTCTTTCAGAGTTTATTGATAATTGAATTGCTTTGTTTTATTCCAGCTAGTGTTCAATCAATTTTTATAAATATTTCATGGACACTTGGATGCATATTTTTGTAAAGCACAGCATCCAGTAGGTACCTACTGATTACATCTTATTATGTACTTCAAATTATTGATAGCCATGGGATGGACTATGAGTAGCATGCAAAAATCTTCCTCAATATGTGCATTTTGATTAGTTTTTATCTTTTAAACTTAGGAAGGTACCTTATTTCAAAACTATGCTATTTCTCACATAGAAGCTTATGACTCATGTTTTAGTTGTGAACAGAGCTACTAATTAGTATTAACTAACTCTCTGCTCTATTGCTTAATATCTTAAATGTATTGAATGTTGTTTAATATTATCACTACTGTTGTCTTTATATTTGCTTTTGCCTATTTATACTTTTGCTTTAGCTTTCTCTTATGAAGTGTATCTCATAAGTAATGTGTATTTTTTAATTTGATGTAAGATATTTGATTTTTAAAATAGAGCTTAAACTATTTAAATTATTGTAATTGCTGACATGTTTGGTCTTGTTTCAATCATCTTGCCCTGGCTTTCTGATTTTTAGTTTTTCTTTGTAATTCTTGTTTTTCTTGATAATTTTTTGCTTTGTTCTTTTCACTTTAATGATTTGAATGACAGAATAGTATTTCAAACTCAAAAAATTTAGGCTGGATATGGTGGCTCACGCCTGTAATGCCAGCACTTTGGGAGGCTGAGGTGGGTGGGTTGCTTGAGCTCAGGTGTTCAGGATCAGCCTGGGCAACATGGCAAAACCCTGTCTCTATTAATAAAAAAAATTGTGATTTTTTTTTTTAAACGTTTCTAAAATGTAATTGGATAAGCCATTTTTGATACTCAAGTTATTGATGAATCTGGAAAATAACTAACTTTGTAACCAGGGAAATGAATGCCACTTTTACATTCTGTTCTGCTTCCCCCCTCTTTTTTTAAATGATTCCAGAATTTTATAATTTTGCATCCAGATATTGTTCATGAAAATTTTAAAAAGTAAAAATTTGTGACTTCATAATAAACACACTAAAAGATACCACACACACCACACGTCACACTTTCCATACACACATACAGGCAGTTTTTCATGTTAATATGGGACTGTAAAAAATTACTATCCACCTAAAACCCTACACAATGATCTTATGATTCTTCCATGACCCTTTTTGACAAGACATATATAACTCTCTCATTGTTAGCTATATAATGTACAGGGAAATGAAAGAAATAGTGGAACTAATATTTATTACGTGATTTTTTAAAAAAAGGCTTTATTGATATATAATTCATATATTATAAAATTTAGCCTTTTAAAATGTATAATGGAGTGTTTTTTAGTATATTGAGAGAGCTGTGCGACTACCACCATGACTTAACTTCAGAGTATCTCTTCACTGCAGAAAGAAACCCCATTCCCAGTAGCAGTCACTCCTTATTCCTCCCTGACTCCAAACAATGGCAACAACTAATCTAATTTTTCTCTATGTATTTTCTTATTATGAACACTTTATGTAAATGGAATCATACAGTATGTGATCTTTTGTGACTGACTTCTTTCACTTAGCATAAGTTTTCAGGGTTTATCCATATTGGAGCATATATCAGTATTTATTCCTTTTTGTGGCCAAATAATGTTCCATTGTATGGATATACCACATGTGGTTCATCTATTCATCAGTTGATGGACAAATTTTAAGCAACCAAATAATAAGTGACCAAATAAATAAATGGCTAAGTCTCTCCTCTATTAACCATGTTGATCTTATTTTTCCAAGTTCCAACACTAAATTCAGAAAAAAAATCAAAGGTGTCTTTTGCAACTGAACCATCTTCCATGTTTCCCAGAGAGCCTGTGAAAAACACAGAAACTTGTTGTTTTACCTTATAATTATGTTTGTTATATATGCTTCATGTTTTTAAGATGGCTCAACATTATGGAAATGCTGCAGGGTGAATGTCAAGTGAAAAAGTGAAGATTCTCTTTCCATATGTAACTGCTGGTTAATTTTGTTCAGATAAAAGTTAATTAATGTAAATATATTAGAGACTGTACCATTTTCAGGAAGAATCAAAAGGTCCTGGAGATTTGTCAAGCCATCCAGGGTTCATATATGTCTTCTCCCACAGGATAAATATTAATCAAATTCTTATGGAATAGTTGTGTATGGTATACTCTGAAAGATAATTTTACTCTCATTCTGATCCTTTTGGTTACTGTGCTATTTATTCTTATCATCAACTAGTTGTACTTTCCTGTCATGCTTGTCTGAGGCTCTCTTATAAGCTATAGAATAGAAATGAAATCTTCAGTTGTCCAAAGATGGACAGTTTTAGAGTCTTCTGGTAAGGACCATGTCAAATACTCTTAACTATTTATACTTCAAAGAATAGATGTGGATATAGGTTCAAAACTAACATTGCTTAGACAATTGTCCCAAGCACCAGGAGACATGCCATATTTTCAGGCCTCTTTATAGTCTAAAGCAGATTACTTTATAAGAGCAGACTGCAAAGATCCAGCAAAACAAGAATTAATTACACAGAACTAAATTAATTTATGACAGCAAACAAATTGTGGTTATTTGTCCTGGAATATCATCAACATTGTTTTTAACATTCATATTTTAATGGGAATATGAGGTGGCCCTTTATCTTTCTTTTTTATTTATCTTGAACCCTGCATTGAGCAGACAACAGAAATAAAAACTTTAAAAAATAAAATTGTATTCTTCCTGATTACTAAGAATTCACAAACAAATAGTTTTACTGGGTCTCTTTACTTGTAAAATGGCAATATAGTAATTTTTGAAGGTTCATTAAAAACCTTATTTTACCATAGAGGCTATATCTGGCCGGTCATATTTGAAAATGAATCTAATTTGATTAGTTATGACAAACTCACCATTAAGAAATAAGACTCTACTTCATCTCTATAGGACAAAAATCTACAATGTGAGCTATAATTTCATAATACTGTGGCCCTAATCAATCATATTTAAGAAGTGTGGGACCAGGGCTCATGAAGTCCTTTCTGGAATCTCTCCTGGTGCCTGTTCTATGGCTGATAGCATTCCAGCCTTACAGGTGAAAAGGAAGGTCACTTCCTGGCAGACCAAACATTGTAGATGATTTTGGGGACCTCAGGAAAAGAGGAATTCACCTACATTTGTAGGTGATGCAGGTGAAATAGGATAAAGATAAATTTTTGGGGTTTGGTTTCTTAGCCTCAGAATAGAAGTCGGAATAATAGAGGCTTTTAAAAGTCTACTGTTATCATTATGAAGCCTCCAGTCAGAAGTTAATCTTCTGTCCTTAGCAGTTACTCAACACATTATGATGCTGGATTTATGACATGGATACTAATGCGTTGCCACATTTTTTGTTGGTAAATTAATCAGGCCAAAACACAAGAAAGCTAGCCTTTTTGGGATCAACAAGAACCTTTAGAGATTATTTATAATCACTAGGGTTAAGAAAATTTATCCAAAACTTGGAAATAAGTGAAAAAGGTGACTGCATGTCCTTTCAAAATACTAGAGCATTGTTTAACAGACCTACCCAAGGACCGTTTCACCTTTTGGGGTATAATCATTTGTTTGACTTCTTATATATGATTGATTAGGGCCACAGTATCATGAAATTACAGCTCACATTGTGGATATTGTCCTACAGAGATGAAAACATTTCTGTGCATTAGAAAAGATAAACCCAAATGTTGAAGCTTTATTGTTCTGTCAATTATTAAGTACTTATATTTCTAACCCAGCAGTTATTGTCCAGCATTTATTTTTCAGAGATTCTATATATTCATTTTCTTGAATTCTCCTGTGAACCAGATTTATTATCTCGCCAAGTCCCTTATTAGTTAGTTGACATATGTTTATTCTGTAATATTATGAATCATGTTTTTAGCTTTTTCAATATGATATTTTGACACTATTATGTCCATTTACCCTCATTACCACACAAAGTCTAAGAGTAAGGATCTTTTCCCTTCTTTTGCTCTCTACAAGGAAGATTCCTTTCAATAGAAAGTGGTTTTTTTCAGATAAAGGAATACTTTCTCCTATTATGTTTTTTTCTTTTATATATTTTTAGTTTCCAATAAACCTATTACAAACTTTGATCTCAGTGTACTCTATTTGCTATTTATCCTCTCTTCTTTCATCATCATCATCTTTGCTCTTTGATCTGCATCTTGGACCAAAGACCTATAAAACTTTCCTTCCGCATGTTTTCAACTTTAGGGAATGTAGATTCTGCTTTGCCCAATTTTCAAAAAAAATTTCAATTTTGTACATGTGCTTTCAGTTATTTTTAATCTAATTTTCCTTGGTCCCATTTTAACTCAACTTTCAGTTTAACAACTCAACCCCTTATGACTTTCTATCTATGTTTTATGGAAGTCATGTTTCTTTATATTCTATTGAGTCAAAGCCTATATTTTATGACATATTCTGTTTATTATGGAAAAGTTTTTGTTTTTCTGAGGTTGAGTTTTCCTCTCCACTTTCAGGGTATTTCTCTCCTTATGTGGCAGAATGCGTGTGTGTGTACCCACATGCACGTGCGTGTGCGCTCTAAGTTGGCAATAATTCTTTGTTTTCTCATCTGTCAATGAGGAGAAATCTCTCAAGACCTGGTGTCTGTCAATTTAAAAAAGACATAGATTTCCCTTGACCTTCTCCATCCACTTGCATGCTTATAGATCCCAGAATAGCTTTAAGTCTTGTGTCTGAATTACCGTACTAAGTCCCTAGCCAAGTTTTACTTTCTTACCGTTCCTCATTTTGTGCAGCCCTGATAGACTGCCGACATGACCTCGTTTCCTTACTTGAGTAAAGAATGTCCATCTCCAGGGCAACACTTTCCAAATCAGACTGTTCCTCAGAATCCCTTGAAGAACCTAAGTAGTAAGTAATTTCCCAGATCCCATCTCATCTTGACTGAATTTTAATCTCTGGAGGTAAGACTTGGATTGCATTTCTTAAAGGTTTCCCAAGTAATTGTGATGCAACTGGTGAACAATACCATATTTAAGAATAACTGGGCCGGGCACGGGAGCTCACACCTGTAATCCCAGCACTTTGGGAGGCTGAGGTGGGTGGATCACGAGGTCAGAAGATCGAGATCATCCTGGTTAACACAGTGAAACCCCGTCTCTACTAAAAATACAAAAATTAGCCGGGAGTGGTGGCAGGTGCCTGTAGTCCCAACTACTTGGGAGGCTGAGGCAGGAGAACGGCGTGAACCCAGGAGGAAGAGGTTGCAGTGAGTGAGCTGAGATCGCGCCACTGCACTCCAGACTGGGTGACAGAGCGAGACTCAGTCTCAAAAGAATAACTAAATGTATCTGCGACAATTTATAGCTCTGATTTCACCTATAATCTCAGCTGGTCTTACATCCAGAGTTCACCTGTAGCACTCTATTGGCCATGACCACACCTGATGGTATTTCTTCTACCCCAAACATTGTTACACAGCAGAACTGCAATCTGTAAGTGGATGTAGATGGTGATGGATTGAGAGGAGAAAGAATAAACCCTACTTATAAAAAAAGAATCTTCATAATAAGGGAATAGTTTCCTGATTTCCAGTTTTACATAGAGCTAGGCCAATGGAGTGGATTGGAATTATATTCACAGCTAATTCCTGGCTGGCATAATTCGGCTGTTTCAGAACATGGGTTTCTCTCAAACAGTTGTCTTATAGCTTCATTTAGTGGACCTTCCCCCAAGGCACCAGGGTTTGCTGTCCTTTCCTAGATGGCAGCTGCCTGAGGGCAGCAACTATGTCTCCCCAACTCTGTATTCCCATCATCTCCATGGTGCCTGACACATAGCCGACTTTCACAAATATGTGCTAATGCCTGAATTAATGGTTTTGTTTATTGCTTACCTACACTCCTCAGTATTCAAAGTTATAACTTTGTCTATAATGTCTACAGTCTCACTCTGTTGCCCAGCCTGGAGTACAGTGGAGCAAACTCAGCTCACTGCAACCTCTGCCTCCCAAGTTCAAGCGATTTTTGTGCCTCAGCCTCCCAAGTAGCTGGGATTGCAGGCGGTGCACCACCATGCCTAGCTAATATTTGCATTTTTTAGTAGAGACAGGGTTTTGCCATACTGGCCATGGCCAGACTGGTCTTGGACTCCTAGGCTCAAGTGATCCGCCTGCCTCAGTCTCCCAAAGTTTGGAATTACAGGTGGAGCTACCGCACCCGGCCTACAATGGGCATTTTAATAGGAAAGTGGGAAAGGTGCTATATCAGGGCCTGTAACATGATAGACCACTTCCACCCATAAGCTCTGTTTTTATTTTTTATTTTTTTTTCACAAGGGCCAAATGTCCCATGTTTATTTACATATGAAATGTGTTTCATACAGTTATGATGGATGGAGTGCATAACACCTGACAGCAGCAAGACCTTTCGAGGAACCGAACGTTGACTACAGTATATCTTGCAAGTATCTATATATACACAAAAGAATTCCTTTTCTTAAAAAAAAAAAAAGTACAAAACATGTTCAGGGATAAATACAAGATACAAAATGCAAAAGAAAACACAAAACAAAACCAAAAAATAGAACTCTCTCAGAGAACTATAAACGGAAGGGACAGAAGAATACCTCTGCTGCATTTTAATAAAGCAGAACTACCGATGTTAAATATACTTCTTGAAATGGCTGAACTAAACCCGGGTGGCTCAGTGCTTAAGGTAACGGCCAATTGCAATACATAGGCGGCTGCATTGATAAGTCGGTGGTTGAATTTGTGCATCCCGACTCTAAGTACCAGAACGTTTGGCAGTAGCACCCTTTCCCAGCCGTGGATAAAAACTGAAGCTAGGAATCTAATAAGGAACGCTGATTTCCTCAGTTCCATTTTGAGGAATGGGGAAGGCTATTCTAAAGAAAAAAATGGGATTTGTTTTCTCGGCAGATCTGCAAGGCTGGCTTTAAGAGCACAAGGAGGGAAAGTAACGAAAGGGCTGGACTACTATAAAAGTTACAAATACGTAGTTAGACCAATAGATTTATATAGTCAGGTTTTTGTCATGTAATTTGTTAACTATTACAGAAACGCAACTAAGAATATCAAGTATTTCTCTGGCTCTTGACAGAAAAAAATCAGTTGACTTAACCCTTTGCTGTCAAAAGAGTTGGCGTTTCCTGTTCTGGGTGCTACTGCTAAGCTCTGTTTTTAATGATCTCATCAGAAAAATGAGAACACTATCTTGGAATGTGTACTTGAGTGAGAGCAGATAGAGGAAGAAACATTCAGAAAACTGCATTTTTATATGCCTTAGAGATTGCAAATTACCTTGTTTTAGTAACATATTAAATTTCAAACATCAGCAACATTGCTGTTTTTATAAACTTGATATTACAGCTTTTGTATTTATGCCATGTTATAAAGACACGAAAACGTAACACCAAATTGATTCTAACCTCCAACGTACTTTTTATGAAAATTTAAATTTGGATTAACAGCAAAGAGTGAGTTTTTTTTTTCTTTAGGATCAGATTGAATAATTAGTTTAGTAATAAACTTAAAGCAGAAAAACAGAGAGCACTTTCCTTATGTTGGCAATTCAGTTTCCTCAAAACTGTTTTACTAAAAATTATGCCATTTATTTTAATTTTTTTAAAGAGTGAAGATTGCTGATTTAGAGTGAAAGTTATTGTTTGTTTTGTTTTTGGCCAATCTCTTCTCTTTATTAAGTGACCTATTCAGAAATTATTTTTTAAATAGAAATTTGTATGTCATCTAAATTTGAGTGCAAATTTGGTATGTAGAAATTCTGATTAAATTAGGGGCCAAGTGTGGTGGCTCACACCTATAATCCCAGCACTCTGGGAGGCTGAGGCAGGAGGATTGCTTGAAGCCAGGAGTTCAAGACCAGCCTGAGCAACAAAGCAAGACTCCCATCTCTACAAAAATTTAAAAAATTCACTAAATAGACTGAGAATATAAAATACCTCTTCTCTTGATTTTATGAGCTATGTGACATTTGATGTTGTCATGCCTGTGTTTCATATCATATATTGTCATGGGCCATGTTTGGATATCTGGAATTTTGTTGTTTTGGCTTTTGCCTTTGGTTTGGTAACTTTTGAGGACTGAATAGGGAAATGTGTAAATAATTTCAAAATGATTTTAAAGTATTGTGTTTTTCTCAGTCAATTGGAATTCATAAAGTATATCCTGTTAGAAATGGTGTAGATGATGTGTGGATTTCCAGGATGATGTACACAGATCTCTGTAGCCCACAGTATGTTACTGAACTTTTCTCATAGTTGGGGTATCCTAAGACCTAGGTCATGGAGGTTGGAGCCATGTCGTATAGGCTTACAGTGTAGTAGGAGGCATAAATATGTAAGTGGAAGAAAGGAAGAATCCTCCTTCTTTTTCAGGTCTACTTTTCAGTAGAAAATGTGTATTTTTTTAACCTCTTCTCATTCCAACTATTTGAATTCTCACCCATTTCCTGGTGCACACAGAGTGCTATACCCTGTACTGTGCTATGCCATGTCCCGGCTTGTCTCTTTACCTCCAACCACTTCATGCTTTCAAATTCCTATCTTCTCATCTTCCCAAATTAAAATTCTCATCTCTTCAGTATGGTCAACTCTTGTTGGAATAGTAATAAGATGACTATTTCACCTTTATGTATTAAAACCAAATATGCTTTCAGAGGACTAACCATTTTTAAAAGAGAATGTAATTACCATCAGTATATTTTTGTTGTAGCATAGGACAAGGTGACAAAAAGTAGATAAGGAAGGACTGATATGTGTGTGAATGGGGTGGCCAGGGGGTGCCCATTGAAGTAAATACCATATAGGTAAATTATATCTAGCAGGGAGGTCTGTAAGCATTAGCTCCATTTATGTTTGTTTTTAAGAATGGCAAAAGCAGAAAAACATCATTAAGTCAGTCACTTGTGTACATGAGGAATTTATGTTCTCATGTGCTAACTGTGCTATGCATGGTAAAGCCGGTCTACTGAGATGGAAGAGGCTGTAATGAAAGAGTCAGAAAAATGGAGCTGGGTGGGTCTGAAAAAGTGAAAAAATATCCAACTTTATTTTGAAAAATACATGCAAGTGCCAAGGAAAATTTATGCACATTCCAAATTCTAACTGGATTTCAGCCAGATTATCTTAAGATATTGAGTCCCAATGGCTTTTTCTTTTGTGCTTATTAAAAAAATATTTACATTGAATTGTTACATTTTTTTTCAAGTAAGCCTATTCTGTGGCAGCTTCCAAATATGGCCAATCTGAAGATTAAAAACACAGCCTGTGGAATCTTAACTATCCATATACTGGCAGGTGAGGACACAAGTCTATCTTGTCAGGGGTAAAGTTAACATTGTGTGAAATTGTGGGAACTGGGGAATGACTTGCTCTCACAGTGAAGAATACCATAAAGGGTGTGTCTTATAGCTGTGGCTGGCAGGATGAACTGCACTGTCTTCCATCTAAGTCATCACCAATTTTATATCTAATAAGCTTTGTCTGAGATGGAAGACTGTGCAGCTGGAAACAAGACATGTATAGTCTAGGATGAACCCCACTCACAGGAGAACATTCCCTGCTTCCTTTGGTGCCCACTTCTTGCTGGAAGCCAGACTAACAGCATTCATCCTGCCAGCCACAGCTATAAGGAGTGCCAAGATGAAGCCAAATGGATTAAGGCAGCAGGATTATCATCTGCAACTTCTGTCACCAAGTTATGGGTGATTTGGTTGGAGTGTAGAATAAATACCCCAAATTTGGAAGACTAGGTGCGCTTTGCTTTCTGGAGCTGTCTGGTGCTGGCCAAGCATCTCTCTCTGTTCAGTTCATCTCAGAGTCTCCCCAACTGTGGTCTAAGTTGGACTTCACAGCATGGTAGTTTCAGGCCAATTGGATTTCTTACATGGAGGCTGAAGTCTTTCAAAATGATTATCCTATCTAGCAAGATGGAAGCTACATTGCCTTTTATGATCCAGCTTCACAAGTCACTCAGTATAATTTCTGGTGCATTTGACTGGTTATAAGCAAGGCATGAACACACTCATTGAAAGAGAGGAGTATGAAACTCTACCTGTTGATAGATGAGAAGGAAATATTCTAGGAAAATACACAGGGTTGGAGGTACTGTGGAAAATATTTTTGGAAGGTTACAATCTGCCACAGTCATCACCACGCCACTTGTGGCATGGTCAATCACCGGTCACCTCTGCCTCTGGCTGTGCTTGTTATGTTCTCTCCTCACAAGGAACTTGTCCTCTGAGATGCAGCTTTCACATGAGGTCTAGAGATCATCCCTTATTATAACTATTTCAGGAACAGGGACTCAGATAAGTCTTTCCTAGTGTCCTAAAATCACACTAGGCTGCATTCTCCTAAATCCAAGCTAACATGCTTTCATGAACATGTATGTGGTGGCACACATTGTGGCTTTTCTTCTCTGGAAGTGTGCCTGCATCTGTGGGCCTATGTGCAGAGTGGGGCAGGAGGACAGAGAAAAGCAGAAGGAAGAGAAAAAAAGCACAAGTATGACAAAGCAGAATTTGAGATCTCTCTCATCTTTTCTGAGCCTCCTGAAGATGGTATTGGGCCTGTGGGTTTTGGAGAGACAGCTAGATTTGTTATCTAATTATCTAGTCACACGCCGGCATATTTAATTCCCTTTTTAAAATTCCAAAGCATTTAGTAGAGGGTTATTTAATTGTTCCTGGCTGATCTCAGCTGTGCTGCAGAGAATTAAACATTGACCAGAATTTCTTCTGGGGTAAAAGTTTAAAGGAGGGGGTCAGCACCCCTGGAGGCCAGCAGGGTAGTTGCAGCCACGATCTGTAGGACTCCTAGGGAGAAAGCGAGTCTCCTTCATTTACTCAATTATTCAGTCCACAAATATTCATTAAGTGCCAACTACACTGCCAGATTCTTTTCTAGGACTGAGACAATAATGGAGAGCAACACAAAACAAAGAACCTGCCCTCATGGAGCTTCCGTTTTAGTGAGTGTATTAGTCAGTGTTCCCTAGAGGGACAGAACTAATAGGATAGATGTATATATAAAGGCGAGTTTATTAAGGAGTATTGAGTCACAGGATCGCAAGGTAAAGTCCCACAATGGACCATCTGCCAGATGAGGAGCAAGGAAGCCAGTCCGAGTCCCAAAACCTCAAAAGCAGGGAAGCTGAGAGTGCAGGCTTCAGTCTGTGGTTGAAGACGTGAGAGCCCGTGCCAAATCGTTGGTGTTAAGTCCAAGAGTCCAAAAGCTGAAGAACTTGGCATCTGATGTTTGAGGGCAGGAAGCATCCAGCATGGGAGAAAGATGAAAGCCAGAAAACTTGGCAAGTCTAGTCCTTCCACGTTCTTCTGCCTGCTTCATTCTAGCCGCGCTGGCAGCTGCCCACCCAGATCGAGGGTGGGTCTGCCTCTTCTAGTCCACTGACTCAAATGTTAATCTCCTTTGGCAACATCCTCACAGACACACCCAGGAACAATACTTTGCATCCTTCAATCCAATCAAGTTGACACTCAATATTAACCATCACAGACAGACAAATAAACACATAGATACCTATACAGATGCACACTCTGGAGAAGAATAGTAGGTAATGCAATGCAGCATAATGAGGGTATTTAGACAGTGACTCTGAAGAGGTGACGTTTGAAGAGAGACTTGAATTAATGGAGTTTATTCAAGTCTAGATCCCCTGACTTCCTCATCATTTAAAAGAATTGTTTAAGTGAGTGCATGT